>NT_187519.1:0-151943 GCF_000001405.40 Homo sapiens
CCAGGCTGGAGTGTAGTGGTGGCACTATCACAGCTCACTGCAGCCTCGATCTCGTAGGCTCAAGGGATCCTCCTGCCTCAGCCTCTCATGTAGCTGGGACCTGACTAGCTGGCCAGCCATATCCCGCTAATATTTATTTAGTTAGTTAGTTAGTTAGTTAGTTAGTTAGTTAGTTAGGAAGAGACAGGTCTCCCCATGTTGGCCAGGCTGGTCTCAAACTCCTGAGATCAAATGATCCTCTCACCTCATCCTCACAAAGTGCTGGGATTACAGGCCAGAGCCACAGCAACTGGCCTTGTTTAGTTTCAGTGAATAAAATTGCCTTTTGAGGGAGCTACAGAGGCAATATAGCAGCTTGGAATCCAGGAAGCTTCCTTGGTCTTGTGTTTCTAAGGGTCCCAGGCATATTATAAGCAACTGCTCCTGATGGAGGCGCTAGTGTATGAAGAGCTAGGTTCTGGAGCTAGACCGCCTGGACTTCTGTCTTGATCATGTGCTTTTGGGAACATGACCTATCCCATCAGTCCCTCACCCTCTTCATATGCAAAGTAGAAACAATGACAGCAGCTGCCTCGTTGGGGTTACTATGATGATATATGTCATGACTTAAAACACATAAGGTGCCGACAGCAGTGGCTGGTACGTAATGGGTACTTAACAGAGCCATTCCTTTCAGGGTCAATGGGGTGATGGCTATTTTATTTTTTTCTTTTTTTTCAATTTGAGACCAAGGACTCAAGAAAAAAAATTCAGGCCAGACGTAGTGGCTCACGCCTCTAATCCCAGCACTTT
The DNA here is from genome assembly GCF_000001405.40 of Homo sapiens. NCBI lineage: Eukaryota > Metazoa > Chordata > Mammalia > Primates > Hominidae > Homo > Homo sapiens. The sequence continues at coordinate 793 of NT_187519.1, forward strand.
GGAAGGCTGAGGTGGGTGGATCTCTGGAGGTCAGAAGTTCAAAACCAGCCTGGCCAACATGGAGAAACCCCATCTCTACTAAAAATACAAAAATTAGCCGGGCGTGGTGGCACATGCCTGTAATACCAGCTACTCGGGAAACTGAGGTGGCAGGATCACTTGAACTCAGGAGGCGGAGGTTGCAGTGACCTGGGATCATGCCTCTGTACTCCTGCACTCCAGCCTGGGGGAAAGAACAAGACTCTGTCTAAAAAAAAAAAAAAAAAAAAAAAAAAAAAAAAAAAAATCATCCTGAAGTCATAAAGTGAAAGAGTAGCAAAGGTGGGCAGGCAGGAACTACTCAGCAGTGTAGAATGGGCCCTAGAACCAAGGACTATTCCAGAGTCATCTGAACTCAGACTCACAGGCATCACCAACAGGCCAGTCCTGCCCCAGCTTAAGCCCTGATACTAGGGGGGCCAGGCTGGGTGGGGGCGGGTAGGCGGTGGCCCTTGCAAAACAGCCTCTATCCTGTGCAACAGTTTATAATTCAGCAGAGAGTGTTTTGTTTTTAAGAAATGTCCAACTGGATATATGGCATTCTGTTAAAACTGTTTTTATTACCTTATGGAACTACAAGAAAGCCTAGGGATGTATTAATACGTATAGGGTTGACAGGCCCATAACTATAAAGTAATGGCAGGCATTATCCACATATATTCATGGAAGTGGGAGTCCAGGGGCAGACACAGAACATTCCCAGAGGGAGCTGACCCACTTTATTATTTTTATGTAGGTTCAGATATTATTTCTCAGGTACAGCATAAAATGATGCTTTATTCCATCAACTATAACCCAGGCACACAGAGTCATTCCATTTCCCGAAGGAATACAAGCAAATAAATCTTTAGGCAGCAAACAGAAATGCATTTTCTCTCCTCTCGCTGCCTTCTTTTGAGGAACAGAATTAGCAGGTTTGCCTAGAGTGCACTCTTCTCTCTTGAACCACATCCTCAGTCCCCAAAGGGAACACAGTGAGATCTTCCCCAAAGGTAGTTCAAAGTTGGGGGCCCTTTCATTTGCCAGGATCTAACCCAGCTACTCAGGAGGCTGAAGCAGGAGGATCACTTTAGGCCAGGATTTCGAGAGCAGCCTGGACAACATAGTGAGACCCTGTCTCTACAAAAAAATTTTAAAAATTAGCCGAATGTGGTGGGGCATGCCTGTAGTCCCAGCTACTCAGGAGGCTGAGGTGGGAGGATTGCTTGAGCCCAGGAGTTTGAGGTTATAGTGGGTAGTGATGGCATCCCTGCCCTCTATCCTGGATGACAGACCAAGAGTCCAGCCCTAAAAAAAAAAATTTAATTAAAAAATTTTAAATCTTTAAAAATTAAAAATCTTACATTTTTCTTTAAGATTTATAAGAGGACTCAGTAAGGGCTGGGCTGGCAATAATATCAAACTATTGAATTCTTTGAGAACTCACTGGAGATTATTATTTTGCATGACATAACTAAACATCTTAATGGTTGACTTAATTACTTAGATGTCAGTCTGTGTGTTTTTGGTGTCGTAAGTACAAAGCTTAGAAATGTTACTTTTAGGGCCAGGAGCAGTGGCTAACGCCTGTAATCACAACACTTTGGGAGGCTCAGTCAGGCGGATCACCTGAGGTCAGGAGTTTGAAACCAGCCTGCCCAAAATGGAGAAACCCTGTCTCTACTAAAAATACAAAAATTAGCCAGGCATGGTGGCAGGCACCTGTAATCCCAGCTACTTGGGAGGCTGAGGCAGGAGAATCTCTTGAACCCAGGAGGCGGAGCTTGCAGTGAGCCGAGATTGTGCCATTGCACTCCAGACTGGGCGACAAGAGCGAAACTCCGTCTCAAAAAAGAAAAAAAAATTACTTTTAAAACCAAGTACTAGCTCATCTCTAAGTAATACTATTTAAGTAGGCAAAAGCCCCTGGAGGTAGCCTGAACTTTTTATACTCTTAGCTGAGGGGACAGAACAGAAATGATATGACATTTACAGAAACCCCTATGTGGCCTGGCCTCATTGGAATTTTTTGTTAGTTAAATAAAGACCATTTGTTTCTATTGATTAAAAACAAAATTATTCGTATGATGGGTTCAAGAAAACAAATTATTTCCCTAATGGACAGTGTAGGTCAGGACTAGAAGCAAATAAGGATCTTCTATCCCTCACACATCTCAACACTCAAGCAAAAACTCAAAGAAAACAATGATACTGACGGCCACGTCATGCACCGTGCTCACACAAGGATGCCAAGAGGCTTAATATGTGTTCCTTACCTGGACCCTTTTCACTGGATCAGAAACACGGATGTCTTAGTCTGATAGGCATCCCCTGCTAATGCATTTTAAATGATTGAATCAATAATTTGATGGGCCACTTTTTATAAGATGCTACGATACCCTATGAAGCACTATTAAAATATTCATTTTTCTGCACTCCAGATGCGGCCCAATTGTTCATAACCAATATTGGTTCTCTGGCAAAAGGAGCAAAGGCAGCCCTCTAAGATATTCCTCACTGATATTCCATTTTTCAGTGGCTTGGGAGACATGAGTAGGAAGCAATTCTGGGTCCCTGCACCCACGATCTTGGTGCCATCAAAGTGCCGCTGCTGGCAGGTTCCTGGGCACCATCTGAGACCAACCCCACTGTGAGGTTGAAGGAGGCTGATCAGAACAGTGGTCCTCCACCTCCTCCCTGACTTCCCAAGTCATCTTCTATTTATGTGGAATTATTCCCATAACTGGGGCCAGATGATCCCACCCTGGGAAGACTGGGGAAATTCCCAGAATGCTGACCTGAAAGTCCAATTTTCCCAATGTTTCTACTGTTCCCATGTCACAAGTCTTTGGGCAAAATCTCCCAGGCTTGAGAGATTTCAATCCAGCCTGGATCACCTCTCCACTTCCTCCATCCCAGAGTGAAATTAAAAATCCCATCTGCTGTCAATGAGGAGTCCCTTCAGGCCCTAAAGTTTAGGAAGAGGAATCCCTATCTTGTCTTCTTCACTGTCATCCCGGCACATCAGTTACTTAAAACAACCCAATTTCAAGAGCTGATAGACCTTCATTTCTGGACACACCAAAAACAAGCAAATTCCAGAGGATCAGCTTCAGGGTGGCAGAATGGAAGGAGTAAAAGCCAACCACGGGGCCAGGTGCAGTGGCTCACGCCTGTAATCCCAGCACTTTGGGAGGCTGAGGTGGGCAGGTCACCTGAGGTCAGGAGTTCAAGACCAGCCTGGTCAACATGGTGAAACCCCGTCTCTATTAAAAACACAAAATATTAGCCAGGCATGGTGGCGGGCGCTGGTAGTCCCAGCTACTCGGGAGGCTGAGGCAGGAGAATCACTTGAACCCAGGAGGCGGAGATTGTGGTGAGCCAAGATTGCACCACTGCACTCCAGCCTGGTGGCGAGTGAAACTCCGTCTGAAATAACAACAACAACAAAAAGCCAACCATGGGATCTGTGGCACAGCTCTCACTTCACCATTAGCTCAGCCAGGACTGGCAAGGGAGTGCCGACTGGAGAATCTTATCCTCTGTTCCTTAGCTGTTTAGATGTATAAAGCCTGAGGGCTTTGCACCTAATTAGGGTTTCAGAACTTTGTTTTTCTCTCAACTAATTACATTTGCCCTGTGGGGAAGAGCCTCTGTCCAGGAGGCATTGCTCTCTGAAAATCTGTCTCAGCCCAACAACAGGTGCGAGAAGGTGAACAGCTCCTCTCCCCACCAATGCGGTGAGATGCCGAGCCAGGCCCTGGCTTCTTCTTGCTCCTCTCCTTTCATTATCTCTAACTCCAGTGTCAGCCCTCAAGCAGTCCCCTGCTTTGTCACCCCTGGCAAGGTGGGGAATGTTCTCTTAACCTGCAGCTTTCTCCTTCGGGAACAAAGCGCAGCCTCTTAGCAGCTAGCAATCAACTCCTGTGCTCGGGGCCTTCCAGCCAGACCTTCTGCAGTGCACCCTGGTAGGGGGTAAATTATCCTGAGCTTGGAAAATGTGACTGAAATCACCTCCGACAGAGGGAAATGGGTTTTCATAAAAGACGTTTCCTCACCTTCGGTTGCAACTCAATTCAACTGACCATTTCCCACCCTGGATCTCAAAAGAAATTTCTGCTTTGCTTCTGGGTATGAGCCTGGGTGATCATGAAAGGTACTTAGGAAGCCAGGCCTATTGAAGCAGCGTAGCCCTCAGAGGGGCATGGCTGACTTGACTAAGAGTAGGACAGGGTGTGGGGTTGAGGAATCCATGCGGACTCAGGGCATCCTGTCGCAGACACAGGAGCTGACCCAGCCACAGGGTCACAGGACAGCCTGTGTCACCACAGTCTCTGTGCAGAGTCCAGAGTTCACAAATGAGATAAATGGACATTTGCTGACTGGGGTAACTCAGCATCTATTCACCCTATTTCTGGGAAAAGCCTCAATTTACATGTGGGAATGGACCACCCCCTTATTGTTATAGAAGTTATTAAGAAATTATTTTAGGCAGATAGAGAGGAAAAGAGGTCCTTGGGAAGTTTTTGTTTCTTTTAAAGCAGATCCAGAAACCTTTCTCGTCTAACAGGAGAGCGCCAGCTCTAAGAGCCACTGGCAAGCTTTGATATGCAAATGCAGGCCACTGGAAACTGAGTCCACCCAAACATGGAGATTCCAGGTTTCTTCCTTGCCCCAACAGGTAGCTGGCAACATGGCCACCCCCACATATCCCCACGTGTGTAGAACATCATGGCGCCCTGCATTTGCATCTTAAAAGGCTAGAGTGTGAGGGCCAGCTTTTTCGCAGGCTATGTGAATGACATGCCTGGTCAAACCAATCCTCTGAGCCCTATGCAAGCCAGCACCGTCTCCTCCAGCCTCCTCATATAACTAGCTGATTACACCACACACACGCCCTCCCCCCACATCCCTTCTGCCCACCGGGGTTTTCTCTCTGTTCAAATCCCCTCTCCCTCTGTCTCTGTACTGGGGAGCTGTTTTCTTCTTCCTTCCTTCTTTCTTGTATATTAAACTTTTCGCTCCTTAAAACCACTCCAGGTGTGTCCGTGTCATTTTATCCAAACGTGTGCTAGACCAAGAACCCTGGTGTTCCTCCAGTCATCTGAGCCATATCATTATCTCATTCTGTTTTTGATGGCACTAACCACAAGCATACCCTGCTCCATCAGAACACTCATCCTCCTGAGCTCTGTGAATGGCTCAGGATGCACAAGTGAGAGAAAAATGTAGCCAAGTGAGGAGGCGGAGAGAAACTGCCTCCTGGTAACACAGTGTGCGCCCCTGGATCAAGCCATGCCTGAAGGCAGTTTATTCTGAACTTTTACAATAAGTGCTCTTTTTGTTTAAATCATTTTGGATTGGGTTTTTGTTCACTTGTAAGCAAAAGCACACTATGATAAAAGGGGATACAAGACAAATATCACAAATCCAGAAATGGGAAGGGCCCAACCCCAGAGCCCAGGCCAGTCAGGGAAGTGAAGAAACAGACAGCATCTGAGATGCCTATGCCCAGTATCCAGGGGCTAGGTCCATGGTCTTTGAGCCTTAAGATGCAGGAGATCCCTGTGGGGAACTTCACAACAGCATAGATTCCCACTCATTCTCACAGCCAATTCTCATCCTTAAGTCTGGAAGGGGAACCAGAGGTTTGGTTTTTAACCAATATCCAGGCAATTTGGAAGCAGATAACACAGAGAATACTTTGAGAAACACTTCCCTACACTCTGAGCTGGGAGTTAAAGGACAGGGTTCCAGTCTCTGCAGTGAGGCAGTGGCAAGAGCTCCGTGGGCGGGAAGAATATTAGGCCAGAGCTTAGAACAGGACTGCAGAAGCAAGCATGGAATGGAAGCACATCTGGTGATCTGTGACATACAACGAGCCTGCAGATCACAGGCAATGATTTTTGGAAACTCATCACACAGTAGTTTGAAGCAGCAGGAACGATTTGATCCAAAGTGCCATGTGAACACTTCCGAGTCTACAAATGCTTTCATAGGTCAACCTAAGCTGTTCCTCCCAACCAACCTGTCTGGCAATTAGAAATCAGGAAATTAAAACTCAGAGTGTCTAAATAGCATGCACAAAGCCACACAGCTCACTGGTTCAGTAGCCTAGACCTGGGTCCCAGTCTGTCTGACACCAAACCCCACACTTTTCAAATAATTCTCCCTTCCACCAGGGGAAGGGCTGGGTCTCAGGAAAGGTCTAAGGGACACACAGTGCGGGGATCAGTGAGACCCTGCTCAGCAGGCCCAGATGAGGGAAGGGGGTGCTCCACCTGACTGCGCAGGAAGGCAAGGCCATTTTAACTTTGCAGCATCTTCAACTCATCTGGCTCAAGAAATCCCAGCCCAGCTTGGGGATGGAGAGTGGAGGAAGACAGGGGCACCCTTGCAAGTGAAGACTAAGCTCTGATTTTTTTTTTTTTTTATCTTACCCAAATTCCCTATCTAAAGGGTCTGGGGAGTGATGTCCTACAAACCATAAATTCTCATCAGATGGATTTTATTTAACCCTATATATTGTGACTTACTTTCCAACCTGACTCTGTCATAACATTATGAGACAAGGAAGAAAATCAAAATATTTTACCCCAAAACATAGGCTTTTTTGTCCATATTTTGAAATGGCCCTGCAAAGCTGTCCTTTGTGGGGGAAAATTTGTATCTGTAAAGAATCTCTATTAACATAGCTAGATATTTTTCTTCCAGGCCCTCCCAATCCTAAAGAGATTAACTGAAAGTCTAGCACTTTGTTTTTTTTGTTTGAGACGGAGTCTCACTCTGTTGCCCAGGCTGGAGTGCAGTGACATGATCTCGGCTCACTGCAACCTCTGCCTCCCGGGTTCAAGCAATTCTCCTGCTTCAGCCTCCTGAGTAGCTGGGACTACAGATGCCCGCCATCACACACAGCTAATTTTTATATTTTTAGTAGAGATGAGGTTTCACCACATTGGCCAGGATGGTCTCAAACTCCTGCCCTTGTGATCCACACCCACCTGGGCCTCCCAAAGTGCTGGGATTACAGGTGTGAGCCACCGTGCCTGGCCAAGTCTAGCACCTTTTAAAGATCTGAATAGGAAGCATTTGCCATCTATTGTCTCTGAGGACAGCCTCTATAAGACTTCAAAAGAACCTTGGTCCCCACCATCTTTTATCTTAACTTGAAAATTTCCTTTCTATGGATCCCAGGTCTTTAGACAAACTCACTGAAATTTACCTATAGCCTGGAAGCGCCCCTCTCCTCCCGCTTTGGTCCCACCTTTCTGGACCAAACCAGTGTATTTCTTAAATGTACTTGATCGATGTCTCATGCCCTTCTAAAATGCATAAAACCAAGCTGTACCCCGACCACCTTGGACACATGTTCTCAGGACCTCCTGAGGGCTATGGCAAGGGCCGTGGTCACTCATATTTGGCTCAGAATACATCTCTTCAAATATTTTACTGAGTTTGACTCTTTTCGTTTACAGGAGCAATGGAAATGATTTTCTTTGATCACAGTGTCAGCTCCTGACATTGGGTTGCGCCCATCTGTGCTGTGGACTCTTCCCTCGGAATGAGAGAGGGAGATGGCTCCCAGTGTGGTTGGAAGTCACCCCGCCCCACAACAACACAGTGCAACAGGCCCCGGCTTCACGCCCATTCAGTTCAGGACAAGCTTTTTGGAGTATCTACTCTGGGCCAGGCCCGCAGGATACTAACATGAAATAGAGACAGTTCCTGCCTTTGAAGGGTGGTGATTTACCGGTGGGGAGAAAGGAAGAAGCCCATGAAAAGTCGTGTCTGTAGAAGGTAAGAAGGGGCACAACCGCCATGGCAGGGGAGTCACAAAGGAGAAGCACTCAGCCTGCCGAGAGGTCCCAGGACTTCCCTGGAGGATCAGTCCCCAAACTGACTGTGACAGGGAGCAATACCCAGATAACAGCAGAGGCCCAGAATAAGAAAGGGTCTGTGAGTGGGCAGAATTCCCTCCAGGGTCATGAGGGGAGCTGACTTCTGATTAGGGCATTTCATCCTTCTCTGAAATGCAGCTGAGAACCGGTCAGCCTCACTCCCTTGCTGAGACCAATAGCAACCCCTGATGATCTCGCCACAGGTCCAGCAGGTGCCCCATCCACACTTTGTCCCCAGCCCCTACCTGGAAGCTCCAAACACCTACCTGAGGGGCCAACTCTGATTCCCAAGGAGGTGACACCTCCTGCCCCTTGTTGATAGAACATTGATAAGGAAATAGGACTGAGTTTTAAGCTTCTTTCCATGTCAAATATTTAAAGGCAATATAATGTTCATGTTTAAATAATATTTCATGTGTAATTAAACAATCCCTTATTGTTAAATAGATGGGTTCCAATTGTGAACTGCTATAATCTGTGTATGTGTCCTTGATTAAATCCTTAAGAGAAATCCCTAGAAACATTATCTTAGGGTCAAATGGCTTGGATATTCTGCAAACTGCTGATAATTATGGGAAATTGCCTTCCAGGAAGGTTATAACAATTTGCCTGATCCCCAGCAGCAACAGACTTTACAAAGTACTCAGTATCTAATATTTAACTTTGATAAAGATAAGCTTCTCCCTTCTTTTTCACTTAAAATGCTGTGTCCCACCTCACTTTTCAGTGTCTCTTCACACTGACAAGACGGTTGGCTAATATTTCAGAGCTTGCAGAGCATCTTTATACACTTTTAATCCTCCTAACAACCGTGAGAGATGGAGCTTACTATTATCATCCGTGTTTGCAAATGAGGCCCTGAGAAGTTGAGTGATTTCTGTAAGGTCTCAGAGCCAATAGACACTGGTAATGAAATAAAATGCAAGGCCCCTTATCTTTGGAGCCCAGTGTTCCTTCCACATAGGTGGTTCTCTACCCAGGCTGCCCAGGAGAATGTGGAATCTCCAGCAGTTCTGACTTAACTGGCCTGGTGTGGATGTCTGTGATGGGTGAACATTCCCAGATCCTTTTAAGAACCTGATAGAAGTGGTGGACCCACTTCCCAGAAAAAGGGACGCACAACAAAATAATTGTCCTGAGTGGGTCTCACAGAATCAAGTGAACCCTTTAAATCTGGATCTAGAGGTCAGAGACTGAGAATGTCAGAGATGCAAAAGAGATTCAGTGCAAGAGAAATCCTCCTACTGGTTTTGAAGATAGATGTTGGCACCCTGTGTCAACAACCTGAGAGTGGCCTTGAGTTGCTGGGAGCACCCCAGACTGACAAACAGCAAGAAGAATATGGGGACCTCAGTCCTACAACCACAGGAACTGAATTCTACTGACAACCAGTGAGCTTGCAAAGAGGACTTGGAGCCCCAGATGAGAAACAACCCTGGCTACCCCGATCTCAACCCTGTGAGATCCTAAACAGACAATCCAGCCATGCAACACCCAAACTTCTGACCTATAGAAACCCTGAGATAATAAATGGGCATTGCTCTAAATCACCAAGTTTGTGGTAATTTGTTATACAGTCATAGGAAGTGAATCGACCTGATGTATCTGAGCACCTGCTAGGTTATCATTAAGATTACTCTTCAAAGGTAAAAATTATTTTTCAAAATGTTTCTGCCCTACCTTCCGTGAGCATCTGGTGATGGATGGACACACACACGTAAAGGTAGACTGTGTTTAGGTGGGCATGCTGGTGCATGCCTGTGGTCCCAGCTACTCAGGAGGCTGAAACAGGAGGATCACTAGGGCCCAGGAGTTCAAGGCTGCAGTGAAGCTGTGATTGAGCCATTGCACTCAAACTTGGGCAACAGAGCAAGACATCAGCTCTAAAAAAAAAAAAAAACTGCTGAATGTTATAAATAAGATTGGAACTTGCTCTGCTTTTACAAGACCACTGTTAGATGACCACTGACAAGAAGACTGTGAGCTGGTCTCTGTAGGAAGCAGGGGCCTGGGCAGCTCTGGGGGCAGAGGAGACAGGCCTGGGGCAGAGACACCTCAGGGCATTTTCAGAAGACAGCCAAAGCAGCCATTCCAGCTTGCCCAGGTAGATGGCAAGTCAATGGGAAATGATTCCAGGAAGGTAGGGAAAGATGGAATTCTGGAGAGCATTGGACCTCAGATTGGGAGTCTGAACATCTTTCCATATGCATCAGGAAGTCATGGAAAATTCACAGACTGGAGTGACTTTGGCAAAGGTGGGATTTAGGGAGACTGATCAAGGCACGGGATAGACCCATGGATGAATGGCCTTCTGGTCAGTTTGTGCCTGTGGTTTTCTATGCTGAGAAGGTGGGAATGTGCCGGGTGAGTCAGCTGTGGATTTGTGTCCCTGCCTCCCCTCACTCCCCACTGTCGTGGATTTGTCGGCTCATCTGTAGTGCGCTCCCTGAAGAAACACTCAGTTCACTCAGCTTGTTTCTAACCCAAAACACTCTGCAGGGCCCATCCTCTCGTCTTTGCCTGGGGATGCCAGACCACACACTGCGGATGCCTTCCGCCTTAGCACTAGTGGGCTAAATGATGACTGCCTTGCTGTCCCAACACCACCCATCAAAGGGAAGACATCACCACTGGGGTCAGTATAGCCCAAGTGACAAACTCTATTCCCTCCTCTCTCTCCATCCCACGGACCCTTGATTTGCTAAGTGGGAAGACACTTTCTCGTGGTTCAACATCACTTAATCGGCACAATTGCTTCTGCAGGCTAACTCAGCCAGAAACCCTGGATATCTGGGCAGAAGCGCATGGAACTTTTAAAAGGATTACTACTGCTTTTAATATTCCCTCTGTCTTGAGTCAGACCACCACCAAGGGCAGATCAGAGTTAATATTATATATCAAAGTCCTGCCATCAGCCTGTAGGATTTATTACTAGCATCTGTCCACTTCAGAGCTATGAGAACCAATGGAATTGGATCTAAGGTTTTGAGTTGGCTCTTGTGCATGGAAATTTGATGCAAACACTCTAATTTATTGGCCCTAAAGGGCTTTGGCAAGTCATTTTGGCAAGTCACCCACTGAACACAGAGTGAAATTTGCAGAGGTTTCCCCTCTGCTCGAACAGTGGTGTTCTCAGCACGTACAGGGAAGTTCTGCCCCCTTCCAGCCAGGTGAGCTAGGGGATTTTGCCTACCCTTTCTGAACCTCAGTTTTCTCATCCATCAGATGGGAATAAAAACATGGTCCTGGATACATGTCTCATGCTAGGCACTGAGGCAGGGTACTCTCTCCCCTGAATGCCTTGCTATTGACGCATCACCAGTAAGGCATGCATTCATTGCACAGAAACTTAGGCATATGCCTACCAACATGCCCGATGTTGTGTGAGGCCTGACCCCTGTGAGGATGCACTTCCATCTGTGTGAATGGATTCATGAGACCAGCCCTCACTCTCAGGGCTGAGGGCATTGGTTCTCTAACTTGTCTGAATATGGAATCAGCTGGAGAGATTCTGTAAATTACCAGTCCCATTCCACCCCTGAGATTCTAATTTCATCGGTCTGATTTCATTGCAGCCTGGTCGTTGGGATGTTTAAAACTCTCCCTGGGAATTCCAATGTGCAGCCAAGTTTGCAACTACACGGAGCCAGGTTAGTGGTGCGGTCAGCATGGTGATAATTGGGCTCATGAACCCATGAACTCAGCTTCATCAGGAGACCCACTGTAAGTACTGGCCCAACAGGAGGGAAAGGAGCTGAGTCAGATGATACCACTGAGGGGCATGAGCAAATGAAAAAACAGGAACCCAGCCGTGAAGCTGGGCCTGAGTGTTGGAGATGCCACTATAGAGACCCTGGTCTTAGCAATCCAGACTTTTCCCCAGTAGAAGGGAGAGGCAAAGATTATCCTGGCCGGGACTGTGTAAGGACTTTGAAGGTTGGCCGTCCATCTCACCCTGCTGTTTCCCTCCTTCTCTGCAGAACAGCCATTCACCTGAATGTTCCAGGCTTTTGGTTAACAACCCCTGGTCTTTTATACCCATTCACACTCAAAATCAGGGGGAATTCCTTGAAATGGTTAAAATGCAAAAGTGAAATTTAGAAGCCCTATGAATGAAACAACAATCCAACAAAAAATTCCCAACACTTTAAGCAAATGCTTTTCAGGCAGAGCCTTCAAATTGCTACTGTCCTACTATCTTCTGGAATTGTGTGTGTGTGTGTGTGTGTGTGTGTGTGTGTGTGTGTGTGTGTGTGTAGAGCAACAGGTGAAGCAGCAACAATAAGGTAGCCTACTTCAGGTCTGGCACCTGTTTTCACTGCTGTCATGCCCTCTTCACTGAGATCCTGACTTAAATATGTACACATGTGAATGCTGATTTCTTAGCATGAATTTTAACTCACCTCCTGCTCGAGCATCAATGATTCCCAATTCCCATCAGAGTGAATGGCCCCTTCCTGGTCTCTGCAGTCAGTCCTCTGAAGCTGCTCAGCTGCACCCCTGGCAGCTGAGGGGCCAACTCTGACTCCCAAGAAGGTGACCTCTGTCTCCCTTCCAGGGCCAGAGATGCAACATCACACACACACTGCCTTTGGAACGTGTGATTAAGCTTTTGGCTGCCAGTAGCCTGACAGCTTCCAGCAGCCTTGTCTGCCACTGTGTCCGCTTCTCTGTGCCAAAGTCACTGAAACAAAGGGACTGCAGATGTTGCTGTGAAGTCCTTCCGATTCTCCAGGACAGAGGAAAGCACTACATTGGGTGGGGGGTGGAGTGGGGATGATGGACTGTGGGAAACCTGCATGATGGGCGTCAAACAATAAAAATGAAGCTTATTTTCTTCATAGCACTTGCTGCCATAGAGATACATTTGTTTCTGTGTCCCTCTCACTGGAATGTAAACTCCCTGAAAGCAAGGACTTGGCTTATTGCTGTATCCCAAGAGCCTGACACAGTGCCTGGCACATGGTAGACACTCAATAGATGTTTGAGATAGGGAGGGAAGTGGGGGGGAGGCAGAAAGGGAGGGAAGGAAGGAGCAAGGAAGGAAGGGAGGGAGGGAGGGAGGGACATAGACTGTGGAGTTGGATAGACTTGGCTTTAATCCTTTCTGTAGCAATTCTAGCTGTGTAAAAATACGCGAGTGAGTCATATTTATTTTCTTTGAGTCTCTTTCTTCATCATAGTACCAATTAACAGGGCTGGGGTAGAGAGTGATACATGTAAGGTTGCTAGCACTATTGGCAATCAAAATATGAGAGCTACTTATTTACATTGTGAGTATTGCTACTACTGATATTATTAGTTCTGGACATTACTAATGATGTGAGCACTGGCCTTTCATCAGAGATTACTGGATAAGGAACATTTACCGTCTTGTCTCTGCTCATTGTGCTAAAGTTCCTTCTTTATCCAACACTTTCTCCTGTTTTCCCAATTTAGTGAAAGGATTAATCTTTTCACTCTCATTCTTCCTGTTTTGTTTCCCATAATATGGGTCCCATCCTTCCTCATGAGATGGGTATCTCAGCAATTGAGCCCACCCCACCCACATATTTGACCCTGATCCAAGACCCTCATTTCTGGGAATGAACCCCAGATCAGCCATGATAGAGGACAGCCTGGTTTTATCTTTTTGCTTCTGAGCAGGATCCAACAATTCTCATAAAATTTTCCCCAGCCTGTTCAGTGGAATTGTCAAAGCATCATTTTCAAAAAGTGAAAACATGATTCTTATATAAGTCTATAGGGAGTGCGTATAAAGATCTGTTTACTTCACAAAAGAAAGAACCAGAGGATGGTAAAGCTGTTTGAAAAGAGAATTGGAAGGAGAAAGATTTGGATAGACCATCAGAAACAGCATGCTGACATAAGTTTGCTAATTTGGAAACCTCACTCGTTAATGTCCTGTAGAGCAATAAAATCTTTTTACAGGACAAAAATCATTTGTATCTCTACCAGACAAAAATTAACATGTAACTTGGCAGAGTCTGGGCCCTAATCAATAGTAAATAGTAAGTCAAACAAAAGTACATTCCCTTAGAGAGTTAAAAAAAGCTTTGGTGGTTTGTTAGGCAACCTTCCAGTACGGCATTAGAAAGACGTGCAGTCATCCTATTTTTACTTCCAAGTTTGGGATACTTTTTTTTTTGAGACAGAATTTTGCTCTTGTTGGCCAGGCTGGAATGCAGTGGCATGATCTCACCTCACTGCAACCTCCACCTCCCCAGTCCAAGCAATTCTCCTACCTCAGCCTTCCCAGCAGCTGGGATTACAGGTACACACCACCACGCCTGGCTAGTTTTTGTATTTTTTAATAGACAAAGGATTTCGCCACGTTGGCCAGGCTGGTCTCAAACTCCTGACCTCAAGTGATCTGCCCACCTTGGCCTCTCAAAGTGCTGCGATTACAGGCATGAGCCACCATGCCCGGCCAAGTTCAGGATACATGTTTAAAACAAAATTGGTCCCCCTCAGCCTGGTGGATGTCCCTGCAGAATTTTAAAATACTATTATGTTCTAGATGTCTGATGCTGTCAATTCTCAATGGCCAGAAGAGGGCATCTGCCCAGATCAGTTCAGGTGTCTATCCCTGGTCCGATCGCCTGTGCCCAGGGTAGCATATCAGGTACACAGGGCTGTTTCTTCCCTGCTATTGGTAGAATAGCTTTTCCAAGAAGGGGATAGGCTGGAATGGAAGAAAAGAGTCCAAAGAGGAAGGAACCACAACAGAAAGAGAATTGCTTTCCTTTCAGTTGTGAGAGCACCAGCTTAATGCCTCTTCCACATTTGCCCAGCAGAGGAAATGTTTGGGCCGAATGACAGAAAACCTAGGGTAGCCTTTTTGGTGCCTCCTGACAATCACAGAAGCAGGCTGGGATCCTACCCAGGTATGGCAGAGCAAGTGAGCCCACCTAGGTGGGAATCCTTACCCTCCTAATCCTGCAGGTTCACTTCACAATCTTGTGTAGACCTTAAACCGTTGTTTAGACAGTTATATGAAATGGGGTATTTTCTGGAGAAAAGGACAGTGAATGGTGATATGGGGATTTTTTTTTTTTTTTTTTTGAGACAGAGTCTCACTCTGTCGCCTAGGCTGGAGTGCAGTGGCATGATCTCTGCTCACTGCAACCTCCGCCTCCTGGGTTCAAGTGATTCTCCTGCCTCAGCCTCCTGAGTAGCTGGGATTACAGGCGCCCACCACCACACCCAGCTAATTTTTGTATTTTTAGTAGAGACACGGTTTCACCGTGTTGGCCAGGCTGGTCTCAAACTCCTGACCTCAGGGTATTCCGCCCGCCTTGGCCTCCCAAAGTGCTGGGATTACAAGCATAAGCCACCGCACTGGGCTGGGGATTTCTAAGTCCACTTGGCTCTCTCCCCTCTGGGCCTCAATGGGCAGCATTTTATCTGTAGCCTTTTTATCTTATAATAGTTTAACTAATGGATCTATTTTGAGTAAGGGATATGTACAAATTCTTTTGTGATTCCAGGAGGAGATGAGAGGTACAAAGTGCAATTATAAAATTATCATTGTCACCATTATCTCCAATCAGCACATCATTCACAGTGACAGTTCTAAGAGCTTTATATGGGAAAAGTGTAATCTATTGCAAATAGAGGGCCATCATTACTGCTCTTAGGCTCCCTTTAGGATTAGGGATGCAGGTTATCATCTAGGTCCTGCGGTCTCCTAGAGAGAGCAGGGAGCACCATCTCCATTAGTTGAAAGAAAGAAACGTAAATGTTATGAGATGAGACTAGGGCAATGACTCCCTGTTCTTGAGAAAACGAGTCAATTCAGTGTCGAAGAAAAACTCAGTAAGCTTTGATGCCTTGTTCTTAACCTACAAACTTGGTAGAGCCACAGAAAGAACATGGAGCAAAATGAAGAAATGGTTTAGTTCCTCTAAGGATCCTTTCATACTTAGGCATTGCTTAATCCAGTTGACTGATTTTTCAAAGAATCTTGCCATATCTGATTTGAAAGCACACAAAGTAGGTGGCTACTTCACGCCTCATCTCTTGGCTCTAGGATCATATTGGGATCAGGCTTTGGGATCAGGTTCTTTGCAGATCAGAAATGGCATAGGGGAGTGTACCGGGAATCAGACAAACCTAAGCACACATCCAGATTCTGCCATTTTTTTTTTTTTTTAGCTGTGTGGGAAAATCTCTTTGCTACTGACATGGTTTGGCTCTGTGTCCCCACCCAAATCTCATGTTGAATTGTAATCCCCAGTGTTGGAGGTGGAGCCTGATGGGAGGTGATTGGATCATGGGGGTGGTTTCTAATGGTTTGGCACCATCCCCCAGTGCTGTCTCATCATAGAGTGCTCATGAGATCTGGTTGTTTAAAAGTGTACAGCACTCCCGCTTTAGCTCTCTTCCTCCTTCTCCAGCCAAGTAAGACGTGCCTCCTTCCCCTTCACCTTCTGCCATGATTGTCAGTTTCCTGAGGCCTCCCAAGCCATGCTTCCTGTATGGCCTGTAGAACTGAGAGTCAATTAAACATCTTTCTTTTTTTTTTTTTTTTTTGAGATGGAGTCTCGCTCTGTCACTCAGGCTGGAGTGCAGTGGTGTGATCTTGGCTCACTGCAACCTCCACCTCCAGGGTTCAAGCAATCCTCCTGCCTCAGCCTCCTGAGTAGCTAGGATTACAGGTGTGCACCACCACACCCAACTAATTTGTGTGTGTGTGTGTGTGTTTAGTAGACACGGGGTTTCACCACGTTGGCCAGGCTGGTCTCTAACTCCCGACCTCGTGGTCTGCCCACTTCGGCCTCCCAAAGTGCTAGGATTATAGGCATGAGCCACCGCGCCTGGCCCACCTCTTTTCTTTATAAGTTACCCGGTTTCAGGTAGTTCTTCATAGCAATGCAGACTAATACAACTACTTTGAGTCTCACCTTTCCTTATTTGGAAAAATATTTCCATTGAAGTGTTATGGTGAAGATTCAATACAATTAAATGATATAACATATGTAAAGGGCTTAGCAATAACCCAATGGCTAATAAGCAGCCAAGGAGTGGTAGCTCTCAGTATAGTCAGCCTCTAAGAAGAGATCAAATGTTTATTTTCAAGAAGAATTATGCAGAAAGGGCCACTTTCAGTCTACCATCCCCCCAAATTCCTTGAAGGCAGGATGATGTGAGCAGCAAGGGCATGAAATACTACAGAACCTGCAGGGAATGAAGTCCCTCTGTCTGTGTGTGCCTATATCAATAATTTAAACTTACACATTCATGAGATGCACTGTGTTTATTAGGATGTACATGTGTCCCTAAGAATCTGAGAGTTCCTGAGAGACAGAGACGGTGTCTTACTCATCTGCTCTCCCCAGGTCCTGGCTTACTATCTGGCACTTATTGGGTAATAAATGTCTGTTGAATGCATGGAAAAAGAAAGGTAGGAAAGGTATGAAGGAGAAGATGGAGGTCATGACCAGTAGAAATCTCAGCTGTTCTGCCTGGGCTCCATGTCATCTCCCTGCTATCAGGCCCATCAGAATGTAAGCACAAATGCCTAGAGAATGACAAGCTTCTTTGGGACTCTGCTGACTAGACATGACATAAGACTGGACAGCTCCTGGGGAACTTCCAAGAGCTGGCTCCAGGAGCTGCTGGCTTGGCTGCCTCTCTCCCTTCCTTATTTCCAAGATTGGTCACCTCCTGCTCTGAAATAGCAATTGATTTTCAGACATGAGTTGATAGAGCCATGATTTTCTAATACTGTTCCAAAGGGGCTAAAGTACCTCTGAGGAGCAGTGCAGGCTAGGATCAAACTCTCCCTACCTTCCACTCCACTCCCTACCTTGCCCCTCCACCTCTGCCCACTTTCTATTTCCTCAGGCACAGCAGCTTCTACCTTATGGATTACAAATTCTGGTCATCCATCTATGGTTGAATTAGGAAAAGAGTACTGCTACTTTCATTTTCTTTTCTAACCACTGCCCTAGAAGAATAACACCTCACATTCTCTGGTAGACTGAAGCCTGCAGCTGCAAGGATGCTCAGAAAACCAGACTTCTATTCATTGGCCACTTGCTGAACTTTCTGTCCCTCTATCCTTGCAACGTACCTTTGAGGTAGGCATAAAAATCCCCATTTACAAGTGAGAAAACCAAGGCAGAAGAGGTTCAGTTTATTTCAGGCTCAAATGTGCTTCCAATAGCTTATAGCCTCTACAGCTAGTGTTTGAACCCAGGTCTGAAAGAAATAGGATTGACAAGGGGAGGGAAAGGAGGAACAGAAATTCTTTTCTATAAGACAATTGTTTATGCAGCCAGGATTTCTTAAAATCCAGTTTGTGCCTACGGACATAATCTTTGAATTTGCTTTGTTTCTCGATGAATAACTTGGAAGCTATTCAAATAACTTGGAAGCTTCCTTTAAAAGGAACATCAGGAGGTGATTTTTGACTAACCCTAGGTGTACTTTCTGAGCCAAATAGATTTTCAAATAAGAAAATGAGAGGACGTGAGCTTGAGGAAAATGATAGGCATTCCAACCTCACCTGCTTGCTGACGACCTCCACGTGATTTCAACAATGATTTCAAATATTTCACTTTTTAAGTCAGTGTGACTTAAGTATGAAATTGCCTCTCCCTAAAGCTCCCCTAAGGCCTAAACAGTCATCATTACCATAGCTGTGACAGGGAGACTGTTGAATTTATGATCTATTGGCCATTCACAGCATAGCGTATAAACCTAGCTCGTGATTTCTTTGCAATAGAAGTGCACTTTTTCATCATATTCCCTTCACAACTTACTCACCAGATCAGACTTTGAGCTCTCCTCCAGGCTGGTTTAGCCTGGATCATTTGAAATGGTCATCCATCCTTTGGCCCCAATACCTAAACTAAGGTCTATGAACAATAAGATGATTTTCTTCAGTGGGACTTTTTTGTTTAATATAATATTAGATAATTCCCCTGATACAGGGCTCAATCTTTTTCTTTTTAAAGCAATATTTCTCAAAGTACTTTTCACAGAACTTAAGTTTCATTAAGCACTTCACTAAAAGAAAAGTCTGTGATCTAATAAATCTGGAAAATATTGAGAATTAGAGCCCCCTCTTAGATATGTACTGTAGCTACTCAGCTTGTTACAGATGAAGTAAACATTGTAATATTCACCCAGCTTTTGAGTGATGTCTATTAACGTCACCCAAATGAGTATTCCACGGAATGCACTTTGCAAAAACCTATTATTCAAGAAAATTCTGGAGCATGAAAGCTATTAACGATAAACCCATTCACAAAATCACACCAAATATCTAAAATCAAGTTTAAAATCTCCTAGAAATGGGTTGAATTGCCCACTTCAGAGACAAAGTGATTCTTTTGTAATAACGAGTTTTGTTTAGTGAGTACTTATTATCTCACTGAATCCTGAGGACTACCTCACAAGGTAAGTATAGCTCTTTTCATTACACATGACAGACAAGGCTCAGAGAGGTTAAGTAACTTGCTCAAGATCACAAAACTGCAGAGTGACAAAACTAGAATTTTGAATCTAAGCTCAAAGGGTCACCAAACCAAATTCGGGTCCACCCACCCAGCCTATCAAAGTCAAGCACTGATATCGGCATTGCTGAGACAGAAGTTGAGGAATTTATTGCAGGCAGCAAGCAAGGAGTATCAGGCAGCTAATCCTTAAGGCCTAATCTCCCTGATGGCTTATGTGTAAGGGTTTTTAAAGGTGGGAAGGCAGAGGTTGCAGGCAAGGTCATACAATACATGGAGGCTACATATTGGTTTGGCCAAAAAAGGCAAAATATCTCAAAGTGAGGGCCCACAGGATAGGTGAACATTAGATGAATTCAAAGATTTTCTGATTTGAGACCAGGTGCAGTGGTTCATACCTGTAATCTCAGCGCTTTGGGAGGCCAAGGTGGGTGGATAACTTGAGGCCAGGAGTTTGAGACCAGCCAGACCAACATGGCAAAACACCATCTCTACTAAAAATACAAAAATTATCTGGGCGTGGTGGTGTGCACCTGTAATCCCAGCTACTCAGGAGGCTGAAGCATGAGAATCGTTTGAACCTGGGAGGCAGAGGGTTCAGTGAGTTGAGATCGTGCCACTGCACTCCAGCCTGGGCAGCAGAGTGAGACTCTGTCTCAAACAAACAAACAAAAACCCAAAGATTTTCTGATTTGTGATTGTTTAAGTTTTGGCTACAAACTTGGGGTCAGCAGAAAGGAATGTTCTGCTCTGGCCTGTGGGTGTGACTTCCTCCAGGTCCCTCAGAAAGAAATTTAGAACAAAGAACAGTTGTGAGAGTTCAGTCCTCAGTTCCTCCTTATCTGAGATCTACGAGCCAACAGGTGGTATTTTCCATTTAGCGGGGTCTGGATTTCTACAAAACAACTCAGGGACATATGTTAAGATGTTATCTCTAGTTTCTATAGGGAAACAAACATTTTGTGGCTCTAATTTTCTTTTTTTTTAATTATACTTTAAGTTTTAGGTACATGTGCACAACGTGCAGGTCTGTTACGTATGTATACATGTACCATGTTGGTGTGCTGCACCCATTAACTCGTCATTTAAGATTAGTTCGTGGCTCTAATTTTCTTGACTATTGTTTTAAGCTATTATTACCTTCTTACTTATCAGGGTGCTCATCTACTTCTTGAGGCTAGCCAGGTGGCTGGAATTTTCCTTGGAGGGACTCAAGAGTTTCCTTTATTTTTCGTGCCTTAAATGGGTCTGTTCTCCCTCTTCAAAGCTCAAGCTCTTAAGGACTATGCTATTGTTAGATTTTTCGTATTGGAGCAGACCTTCCCTCCTACTCAAGAACACCCCTTCTTCAGACAGCCTGGCTGGGTCTTCATCCTGGGAGAGCTCATGAAACACAAACCAGATCTTGGCCCTCACGTGTGTCTAGGCAGAGCGGAGCCTGGGCAACACCAAGCGTGCCCCCGATTTTGCCTGCCCCAGCCAATTCGGAGTCAAGATCCACGCTCAGCTCCTTCCCTGCAAAGTGCTAATGATGAAGCATGGGGATCAAGTCAGCAAACTCCAGAAATGGTCTTAGACTAGGAGTCAAGCCTTGAGATCCTATTACACACCAGATTCATTCCCTGATTAGAGCTGCTGGATTCTTTTACTCTCACTGCACTCATGCTAAAGTTTCTTTCCTCCAGCCTCCTAACCCCAGAGGAGGCTGAGCCATGATACCCATTGTCAAGCAATACATATTTAAGGAGCCCCTGAGATATGTCAGGCACCATCGTAGGTGCTGGGACAAGTGAATGTGACCAGGAAAGTCCCTCCCCTCTCAGAGGTTCTTTTCAAGTTGGAGGACAGCAAATACAGAAATATAGAGTCTAACATAACAACAGGGAGTAATAAACACTTTGAAGAAAAATAAAGTGGAATAAGAGGGTAGGGTTGCCATAGGGTTCTCTGGGCAGTCTTCTATGGGAAGGCCACTTGTTTGGGCAGAGAAACAAAAGATGTCTGAAAGGAGGACTACGGGCCCCCCATAAGTGTGCTCCGGTCCGCGCACAGGGCAATGGGCATGTAATTTCCTATGATTAAGACCTACAGTATGTACAATATTACTGCAACAGACACTGAGACTCACTTAGCATTGTTTCATAGCATCCGAGTTGCTCTGTTGGAGGAAAGTGCATGTGATGGGCATTCATTTGCTTCTGCCATCAGACAGATTCTCTACCTTTGTCCTTCCTACAAGATTCCCTAGGAAGGCAGGGCTCAGTGGCTCACGCCTATAATCCCAGCAATTTGGGAGTCCGAGGCAGTCAGATCACAAGGTCAGGAGTTCAAGACCAGCTTGGCCAACATGGTGAAACCCCGTCTCTACTAAAAATACAAAAATTAGCTGGGCATGGTGGCACATGCCTGTAATCCCAGCTACTCAGGAGGCTGAGGCAGGAGAATTGCTTGAACAGGGACCCGGGAGGCAGAAGTTGCAGTGAGCCAAGATCGCATCACTGCACTCCAGCCTGGGCTACAGAGTGAGACTCTGTCTCATAAATAAATAATAAATAAATAAATGATTCCCTAGGAAGCTGACTCCCACTGAATGTGCCACTCAGGAGTCCCTCCTCTCTAGATTACAGTTGAGTTTGCTCAATGCAAGGCCCCAGCAGAAATGTTGGAAGTAAGAGCAAATAGATAGTTAACCACTCTTTAAAACAACAATGGATGTATACTTCTCTGGCCTCAGCTCCTGTGGGGAAGCTCCAGTGCCAGTCCCTGGGGGCTTCACCATTTTCAGTTAGTTCCTGAACCTTGTAAACAGACCCTTCACTAAATTCTTCCTAGTTAACCCTTTGAGAATGAAACCATTTCCTGCCAGGACTCTGACAGATGCAAAGAACCCACAGCCGACTGCTGGGTGCGCAGCAGACCTAGTGCATGGCTCCACACTGCCATCTTGGGGGCTGGCACAGGCTGGCACTGAGTCTGGGGAAGGGAGCTGGGGCTGGAGGTGTGGAGGGGAAGACCGTGCATAGTTGCTTCCTGATCAGCTCTTTATTTGATTGAGAGTGAGGCAGGGAAGATTAGAGGGAAGCTTACAGTGGAATTCAGGGCTGAGGCTGCTATTCTTTTGCTCCTTGTAACTTCCTACAGTGTTGTCAGCATCCACATACTTCTCTGTGGGGTTGGTCTCAGAGCCAGGTTACCTTGTCTTAGGTCCAGTGGCACCCTGACTGGCTTGGTGTCCTTGAACAAGTGACCTAACCTCTCCATACCTCAGTCCCTCAGCTGTAAAATTTAAAAAAAAAAAAAGAAGAAGAGTACCTACTGTATAGCATTGATTTGAAGATTGAATGAGCTGGTATTATACAATGTTTAGAAGCAGTGCCTGACACGCAAAAGGCTCTCAACAAATACTATCCTTTACTAATATCCCGTGTGTCTGTATCAGAGCTGGGGGGTGGAGGGACAGAAAGAAGTGGGAGAAGGTAAAGAGATGGGCAAATGATCTCTAAAGTCTCTCTGGCACTAACACAATTCTTTATTATGCGTTTTGTCTGGCTCTTTATATTGATAGCTGTTCCAGAGGCAATCAATACCTATTAGTCGGTTTTATTCTTATTTTTCTGTCTGATCTTACAGGGGAGCAAACTGAGGCAAAGCATGAACTTACTTCTCAGGAAATTAACCATTATGTTGGCAATCGCTGTGATTATTTGAACGGCAGCATCTGGACAAATTTAGTCACATGAAGTACAGAAGAGAGATTTCTCATGGTTAAAACGAAGCTCTCTTTATTTGCTTCTGCTAATTAAAAAATCAGAGCTAAAGATACTTAAACACTACAGTTAAAATGCCATGGTTGTCTATTGGCTTAATGAATTCTCTTATGAAATCAACTCTAAAATGTTATCCATCATAAATCATGAAACACAATTTTTCTTATTCTCTTTAGAGCTTTACAATTCATCTTAAAGACCAGTGTTTACACTCTCTTCTGTAGGTTGTACAATAACTTTGGCGAGAAAAAATAAAAGCCTGGCTTTCTGACTCATAGGTGTGTTCCCTTTAACAGAAAAAGAAAATATGTCCTCTTTAAAACTGATGATCATTGGTCACCTCAATTTTATTGAAGTTCACTTCTGACCTCTTTAGATGTAGTTCTCTACATAAAACTGCCCAACAGAATTCTCTGTCTGAATGCCTTCTCCACAAACAAAATTTTAAGAACTAAAATCATCATCTTTCCTTCCAAATGTGCTCTCCCTATGTCCCCAGGGCTCTCCATGTGTAGAGCTGAGACCATTTGCCACTCAGTTTCCTCACCCAATTAATTGCAAGTCCCAACAATTTTCCTTTTTTTTTTTTTTTTTAAACGGAGTCTTGCTCTGTCACCAGGCTGCTGTGCGGTGGTGCAATCTCAGCTCACTGCAACCTCCGCTGCCTGGGTTCAAGCGATTCTCCTGCCTCAGCTTCCCAAGTAGCTGGGATTATAGGTGTGTGCCACTACATCCAGATAATTTTTGTATTTTTAGTAGAGAGGGGATTTCACCATATTGGCCCAGATGATCTCAATCTCTTGACCTCATGATCTGCCCACCTTGGCCTCCCAAAGTGCTGGGATTACAGGCATGAGCCACCATCCCTGGCCCACTTTTGCCTTTTTAACATCCCTCAGCTCTTCAAATCCATTTTCTCTTCTCTAACACCTCCCCATTCCCCAGCTCGTAATGAACTCTTAAGTAGATTACTACAATCACCTCCCAAATGGTCTTCCTGGCTCCATCAGCCTTGTGACCTTCAAGTTCATTCTCCACATGGATGTCAGAGTAACTTTCTAAAATGAAAATCTGACCACGTTACTCTCTTGCCTAAATCCGCCTATGGCTGCTGTTAGGATCAAGTCTAAACTCCCGACCCTGGAACATAAGGTCTTCGTGCTCTGTTCACTGCTTCTCTACCTCACCTGCAACCAACACCACTCCCACATCCATATTCTGCTCACCGTGTATCAACATGAACAGGAGGTGGGTGTTTCAGTCCCCAGGAAGACACTGGGCCTTTTCAATCATCTACTGCTGTGTAATAACCACCCCGCAAACTGACCACATGATTTCATTTTGCAAGGGTTCCTTCCTTGGGCTGTGTTCAGCAAAAGGGTTTACTGAGCTGGCAGGTCCAAGATGGCCTCACTCACAGGACTGGCTGTTGATGGGAGCCTTGATGCTCTTGGGCTCACCCCTTATCCTCCAGTAGGTTAGAGCTTCTTACAGTGGTTTCAGGCAGCATCTGAAGACAGTAAAAGCAGAAGCTCCAAGGCTTCTTACATTCTAGCCTGGAAAATCACATCACATTGCTTCCTTCATATTTTTTTGGCAAATCAGGTTGCAAGGCTTGCCCAGATTAGGGTAAAGAGGCTCCTTTTCTTTTCTTTTTTTTTTTTTTTTTTTTTTGTTTGAGTCAGAATCTCGCTCTGTTGCCCAGGCTGGAGTGCAGTGGCACGATCTAGGCTCACTGCAAGCTCTGCCTCCTGGGTTCATGCCATTCTCCTGCCTCAGGCTCCCAAGTAGCTGAGACTACAGGCACCTGCCACCACGCCTGGCTAATTTTTTTTTTTTTTGTATTTTTTAGTAGAGACTGTGTTTCACTGTGTTAGCCAGGAGGTCTCCATCTCCTGACCTCGTGATCCACCTGCCTTGGCCTCTCAAAGTGCTGGGATTACAGGCGTGAGCCACCGTGCCTGGCCAAGAGGCTCCTTTTCTTGATGAAAGGAGTAGTGAAGTCACATTGCATGTCCTTGCAAAGGGACATGCAGACCACATTAGTGAGAATATGTGCCTGTATTTTGCAATCTGTAACATGGGCATAAACTAAATGTTTTCCAAAGGGAGTAGGGCAAAACAAAAAGGACCTTGACCACTCCTTTGGCCCCTGAATAAATCCAGGAAGCCTAAGAGTATGACTATCCTGAGGTAGAAAGAGGGTCACATGCTGGATAAGAGGTACCTGGGCTCTCCACTTACAAGAAGAGAGCATGGTTACATTTATAATCACCATTCCCAACATGCTGTGAGTGCAGGCAGCTACCAGGAGGAGAATAAAGGAAATAACCAGGACACCCATCTCTAAACCTGTTAATTTAATCACACGGAACACTTCTATTTAAAATTCCCAAGGGTTAAGATGTAGGAATGCTTATCAAGGTAAATGCTGTTCACACTTCTTGGAGTGTCAGGCCTAGATCTCTATCCATCAGAAACAACAATATCAATAACAACAACAGCAACATGATGATGGGGCAATTTCTGAAAAGCACCATGTATTTTATCGATACATGTCCATTGCAGAAAATCCAGGTGAATCCAAAGAAGAAATAAATGTCTGCCACAATCCATAGCCCAGAGCTAACTAACCAGTATAAAGAACCCAGTGTGGTTTTAACTAATGGATCAAAAGATGCTCATCAAAGGCTCTGAGCTTTCCTGAGTGCTAACAGGAAACATCCAGCATCTCTGGTCTCTCTAAGGCTGCAGGTGTCTTTGCCCATAGTGCCTGTTTTGTGTCAGGGAAAGAATCAACCTGGGAGCCAAGCCCAGGAATCAGGATGACCAAGACATACTGGACAAGGAGGGAACAAACCCATCCAAGGACACTCAAGGACAAATCAAGCAAATGAATTTAAGGGAGACGTGCTCATGGTCTGCTTTGCTGCTCAGCATGGCTGGGAGGCACAGTGGAAGATCATGCATCCTGCCCCTGGGACTCCTCTGCCAGAGCCTGAGAGATTTCTCCTGCCCACAGGCTAGGGGTAGGACAGTTGGAATTGATCCATGCCTTCTAGCTAGACTGTGGGTCCCCTCAGTCTTGGGCATGGTGACAGCCCAGCATCAGACAGAGGTCAGTATCAAACTAGAAAATTTAATAAATGCTGTCAGATTTGTAGACCCAAGAAAATATAAACTGCCAATCACGGAGGAAAAAAATCTCTCAATGATCTTATCTTTATATGATTCCCTTGCTGCCTGGAAATTGACATTTCCTTGGGGATAATCTGGTCATAGGATTGGTGAAGGTGGAAGGGAGGCAACCTCTGAAGGTGGGGCCCTCTGCTCACCTGGGACAGGGAGGGCCTGAGGTAGGTGTCTGTGTGGGCTGGGGAGGAGGATGGGAGCAGTGCTTCTAGATGTTTCCACTTTCTCCTCATTAGATAATAACGAATGGGTGATTTCCCTAGTCACTGCAGTGTGAGGAAATCTACAAAATTAATTTCCCAATACACTTCACAGGATAGGTGGAGAAACCCATGAAGCACAACTGCAGTGGGTTATAAAAAATGGCCTTTCAAGTTGAGCAATAAATTCGTTCAAGCAGCCATTCTGAAGGACAAACGTGGTTCTGTATTTAAGAGGGGCATTCCAGCACTTCTCTAGCCACTGGGTTGACAATGACTCACCAAAGCCTCTGGTAGCCACCACAGGACGCCCAGAGCACGTTTTAAAGCTGAACACCAAACTGCGGACTTCGGGAGTAAGTGAACTGACTGGTTTTTATTTTGTTTTACTGCTTTTAACATTACAGTAACTGTTACAGGTTCCAGCAGGCTAACTGGGTAGAAATGAGTTTGGTTTCACTTAGTCTCTCTAAAGAGAAAGCGAGTCCATAGACTAATACCTAATAAAAGCAAAGCTCCCAACAATTGAAATCGCCTGGGCTGCTCTGTGTGTCCCACATGCATGGGTGTGGGTGCCAGTGTGTGTGCACGTGTGCATGCATGTGCATGTGTATTGGGATAGAGTGGTAAGAAAATGGGAAATAATAAGAATGTTCAGTCCATAGCCTTTCATTATAAAAAGGTGAGCTGTAATAAATACTAGTGCCACATTTAGCCAAAAC
Organism: Homo sapiens; assembly: GCF_000001405.40. Lineage (NCBI taxonomy): Eukaryota > Metazoa > Chordata > Mammalia > Primates > Hominidae > Homo > Homo sapiens. The sequence goes on from NT_187519.1 coordinate 28,055, forward strand.
TTTACTCCAGCCAAAAGTGATATTTTCATGATAACATCCTGTGATTGCTTTGTTCTTCGTCTTTTATGTTCTTCCTAGATGGGCTCAGAACATACAAGAATTAAGTACACATCTTATTTTCCAGTGATAATGCTACCAGCAAATTCTGTTGTTTGTATAAACATCAGCCATGTTTATATAACTAAACTAGTGTTTTGTTTTGTCAATTCAGCAAGAAATTAGACCAAATGGTGACTTAATGCTGCATTGATTTGGCTATCAATTTCTTTTCACTTTTCTGCAAAATATTTAATACATTATTAAATTGAATTATGCTGATGCCACAGTTCTTCTTATCTCAATTGTCTTAAAATTCATTTAATTTTTTTCCTTTGGTTTCATTATTCAAATTTTAACTTCAGTTCTCAAGATTTGATCTGATGGAAGAGATGGAGTCCATTACTAAGGACTCCATTGTGCTCCATCATGCCAGAGTTGTAAAATAGATCTCTTAAAGGAAATTTACTGTGATTTTTTTCTATTTAAGAGCTTCCTCTCCAGTTGAGCATGTAAGAAAATTATACCAGGAGAATACAGTAAACTCTATAAGGCAAGCTATAAACATGTAGCATTGTGATTAGGGCTGGTTCTCCTTCTAGAAACATGGTAGGATTGCAATTTCATACCATCCTTGAAGTTAGAGAGAGCCACGTGACTCATTTAGCCAATGAACTGTGAGCAGAATGACATGTCACTTCCAGCAGAAGCTTTAAGAATCTGAGAGACATTCATACGTTTTCCATGTGCTGTAGCCTTATACCCAAAGCCTGGGTCCCAAGTGACCATGACAGGCAGAGCTCCCTGTTGAGCCACAGAGATTTAGAGAATGGCTGTTAACACAGCATAATCTAGCCCATCCTGACTAATCTGATATTAACATGTATAATAAAGAATTCTATCAATTCTGAGGGAAGATGATTAGTTAAGGTCCTAGGTTGCAAGTCTCAAAACCTCTTCTAAGGATTGTAGACAGGAAATTAAATGACCTCTAGTCCCTAGAGTTCCCAATCTCCTACCATCCCATCCTAATATGACAGAAGTAATTCCTGAGTTGCTTCTGAAACCAGAGCTTCCCTCAGAACCCTTAGCCTGCCAGATGGCTTCTTGGAGAGCCCTCACTCACTTTTCTCCTCCTGCTATTGCTGCTCATTCATTCCAGCTTTTAAAAATTCATCTTTATCCAGGAACCTCGCTTCTAGAAAAGTCATACAGGTGCTTCCAGGAGGCTACATGGGCACCCATATTTTTCTAGCCACATTCATTAGACCAATGCAGCAGAGAAGAAAAGCCTCAATAATTATTATGACATGGCATGTTAGGATACCAAGTAAATTGCATTTGTAAAATGTGATTTTCTGTTGGTGTTCACTTCTGCTCTACTGACATTTGGTAAGTATTATTGACTGACTGACTAACTAATGTGGTCATTAGTCTTCATAAAGAAAGGCTCTCTACAAAAATGGAGGGATGCCCTTTTTCTGGCATTTAATACGTAAGAAATTGCCTCCGATAGAAACCAGAGTTGCCTGATTACTATCAGCACAGGAGAAATGTATTAATGTGCCTTTCTAGTAACAGGTTTTTAGAAAGTCAAATATAAACAAATCTGTCTATTTGTGTGTGTGCATGTGGTAGTGGGGAGGGAAGAAAAAATGAGGGGGAGAGAAAGAGAAATAAGAACCAAGTTTATTATACTGTATACAGGGGGAAAAAATTTTCCCAAGGTCCTAACAGAAGAGCAAAGTGCCACTGTCATAGCCTCAGTAGTGTTAGGGTTGCTTTTATGTATTTATTTATTTACTTATTTATTTATTTTTCCTTTTTTTTTCCTTTTTCTTTTTTTCTTCTTTTTTTTCTTTTTTTTTTTTTTTTTGGACAGAGTCTCACACTGTCGCCTGGGCTGGAGTGCATTGGTGCAATCTCGACTCACTGCAACCTCTGCCTCCCAGGTTCAAGTGATTCTCCTGCCTCAGCTGCCCAAGTAGCTGGGATTACAGGTGTCTGCCACCATGCCTAGCTAATTTTTTTGTATTTTTAGTAGAGATGAGGTTTCACTATGTTGGCCAGGCTGGTCTCGAACTCCTGACCTCGTGATCCACCCACCTTGGCCTCCCAAAGTGCTGGGATTACAGGCGTGAGCCACCGCCCCTGTCCAGGATTGCTTTTATAGCCAGTCTTCAGGTGCCCACTGTAGGAACAATGTCATTTAACCCTCGGGATTATTCTGTGCCAAATCTGGATAATGACTAATATTCAACACAGATATTCTCAGCTCAGAAGAGCAATTAGCAAATTCAGAAATTCTAAGTGCTTGCTTCCTTTTTAGTCAAATACAAATGTTTGTTAAAAGATATTATTTTGCTTTACACTTTTTCTCTCAGAAATAAACAGATGCTTGAATTCCCACAGTGCTGCTTGAGCCTCACACCATGTCATCCTGCCAGGCACCCAGATCCAGTTCTAGAGTTTCACATGATCATGAGTGTTGGTTAATAAGTCAATGTGAACTGGGAGGGGAGATTTTTCAGGAGTGCCACAGGGCTCTCCCTTTAATCACATACACTCCCTGCTTTCATTGGAAAGTGTACGATGATGTCAGAGTGCCCCAGAATGGAGCTAGTTGGAAGACTGCCGTCATAGGGATGCCTTAGTGAATTAATAAGGTTTTAATTTCTGGCTCTCAACTTTGTAGATGTAAAAGTTGATTTATCAATATGTGAGAAAGGATGAATCTTTCTGAAGGTTATGTCATCACACTCACTAAGCACACAGAGAATAATGTCTAGAATCTGAGTGCCATGTTATCAAATTATACTGAGACTCTTGCAGTCACATGGGCTGATATGTAAGCATCGTCATGCCTAGTACAGACTCTCCCTGCAGATGAAATTATATGGGATGCTAAATTATAATCAGAACAATGTTTGGCGAGCCAAAACTACAACAAGGGAAGCTAATTGGATGAATTTATAAAAATATGCCTCAGCCAAAATAGCTTAATTCAGTCTCCCTTATCATAAGGATAATCTTGCCTAAAGGGACAGTAATATTAAAGACACTAGGAATAACCTCTGTACTTTGGACAGTAGACCTGCATAGCCCATTAGGCCTCAATGAAGTCTTATGCAAGACCAGAAGCCAATTTGCCATTTTAAGGTGATTCTCCATGTTTCTGCTCTAACTGTGCTTCACAATACTCAAGACACTGAATCAGGATGTTTCCTGGAGTGCAGGGAGCTGTCCGTGGTACTGAGCAGTTCTCAGCAACCCAAAGATCCTACTGACTCCTCATCAGACTTCTTTCTCACTGGAATTTTACACCTGGGCTGTTAACACCAGGCCAGGTCAAATTCAAAGGAGAGAAAAAAGCTCATTATGAAGGGTAAAATCCAAAACACTGTGCATAAAGATATGTGTGCACAATTTTTATACATAAAGATTTCATAAAGCCAAAGCATCAGGAAATGAAAAGAAATACAGAAAGAAAAATGATGGTAAATGAGACATTAATTTACCCTTCTAATCTCTATCACAGCAAAAAGATAATTTAAAAATCTATATGAGAACCACAAAATACACAAAAATTATGTAGCAAAGCCTATAGCCTGAAAAAGTAAACATTGAAATTTGTATGTCCATAAAATGTTTACAAAATTGAGTACATATTACACACCCCACCGCAAAAACATCTAAGCAAAGTAGAGACTGTAGAAATGCTACAGATTATATTCTCTGATTATGACACAACAAAACTAGAAATTACGGCATGGAAATTTAAAAGCTTTCTCTTAAATAATTCTATGTCAAAAAGAAATCCAGGCTGGGTACAGTGGCTCATGCCTGTAATTCCAGTACTTTGGGAGGCCAAGGTGGGCAGGTCACTTGAGGTCAGGAGTTCAAGACCAGCCTCGTCAACATGGCGACACCCTGTCTCTACTAAAAATACAAAAATTAGCAGGGCCTGGTGGCGCATGCCTGTAATCCCAGCTACTTAGGAGGCTGAGGCAGGAGAAATTCTTTGAACCCAGAAGGTGGAGGTTGCAGTGAGCTGAGATTGCACCACTGCACTCCAGCCTAGGTGACACAGCAAGACTCTGTCAAAAAAAAAAAAAAAAAGAAATCCAAATAAAATTTCCAGAATATGTGGAAAATGGTGATAATAAAAATATTACACATGTGTAATCCCAGCATTTTGAGATGCCAAGGTGGCAGCATCACTTGAGGCCAGGAGTTCACAACCAGCCTGGACAACATAGGGAGACTCCATCTCCACACACACCAAAAAAAAATTTTAAATAGCCAGGTATAGTGGTACTTCTTGTAATCCCATCTACTTGGGAGGCTAAGGTGGGAGAATCACCCAACCTCAGGAGTTCAGGGCTTCAGCAAGCCATGATCATATCACTGCACTCCAGCCTCAGCAACAGAGCAAGATCTTATCTCAAAAAAAAAAAAAAAAATCACATGTGGGAAATAGCTATAGCACAATAAAAATAAATGTATTAAGTATGAACAACAAAAAAGCTAGTAAAGGTTGAACAACAACTATCCTTAGGAAAGTGGAAATAATGTATTAATAAATATGAAAGAAAGCTAGGCACGGTGACTCACATCTGTAATCCCAGCACTTTGGGAGGCTGAGGCAGGCAGATCACCTGAGGTCAGGAGTTCCAGACCAGCCTGGCCAACATGGTGAAATCTTGTCTCTCCTACAAATACAAAAACTAGCCAGGCTTGGTTGCGCACTCCTGTAATTCCAGCTACTTGGGAGGCTGAGGCAGGAGAATCTCTTGAACCTGGGAGGCAGAGGTTGCAGTGAGCCGAGATCATGCCACTGCACTCCAACTGGGGCAACAGAGTGACACTCCATCTCAAAATAAATAAATAAGAAAGCAGAAACTAATAAATTAGAAAACAGAAACATAGAACTAATTTATAAATCAAAGCACTATGCCTTGAAAAGAGGGAGAAAAATTGTGAATTAAGGAAGGGAAGAGATGGTTGGACAGGAAGTGGGAGAAGGCAGAGATAATTGAAGGAGCAAAAGCATCTGGAGAAGCAAAGCCACTGAAAGATGAACAGGGCTCCGAAAGAAATGCTTGATTGCTATCTTTTCAAATGACTGCAGTTCCCAGTGACATCATTTTTCTCCTCCCTGGAAGTCTGAGGGGCAGTTCACTTATCTCCTCCCCTCCCCTACTCCTCACCCCACACTCAAAACCTGTCTATGCTCCTTTCATTCTCCTATGACAGATTTCAGATGGCATTCTTATTTCCCTGATTTCTTTTTGAGATAGCTTGCATTTCCCTCCTCTATATAAAGCCACCATTTATCAAATGCCTACATGGACCAAGCAGTCCACAAGGGCTTCACAGACAGTTTTACTAAACTCATGTCAAAACTTTCGGGTTTTATACCTACCTTATAGGTAAAGAAATTGAAGCTTATAGAGTTTAAGTAATGTTTCCAAAGCCTCGTGGCTAGTAATTCAAACCTAATTTCTGCCTACTCCAAAGTCTATTTTTCCTCATGATACTATACTGCCTCTCCATGGATAAAGACAGAGATCACATATTAATAAAATTTGCACAAAGTCAGCAAATTGTTGAAAGGGAAGGCTAAGATGATTAATAAGATCAAGAGCCAGATGATCTCAACAACCTGAAATAACTGGCTGACAACCAATTTGAATAACTCCCTGCGGGTGAAGTTCAAAGTACTATTTGGGGTTTTTTTTAAAGTTTGGCTGGGTGCAGAGGCTCACGCCTGTAATCCAAGCACTTAGGGAAGCCAAGGTGGGCGGATCATGAAGTCAGGAGTTGAAGACCAGCCTGGTCAACATGGTGAAACCCCGTCTCTACTAAAAATAAAAAATTAGCCGGGCGTGCTGGTGGATGCCTGTAGTCCCAGCTACTCGGGAGGCTAAGGCAGGAGAATCGCTTGAACCCAGGAGGTGGAGGTTGCAGGGAGCCGAGATCGCACCACTGCACTCCAGCCTGGGCGACAGAGTGAGATTCCGTCTCAAAAAATTAAATAAAATAAAATAAAAAATAAAGGTTTGATATATTCAGAATCAGGGAGGTCTGTTGGGTGCAGTTCATTTGAAAAATTCCTCAGCATTTTAGTGATCTGTATGGTCCCTCTATCTGTCACGGTCCTAGCAGGAAATTGTTCCACTCTCAAAGGATTAAGCAGAAAGAGTTTAATGAAAGGTCTCTTTCCAGGGTTAAGGGAACTGCTAGGGTTTGGATATTTGACCACTCCAAACTCATGTTGAAATGTGATCCCCATTGTTGGAGGGGGGGCCTAATGGGAGGTGTTTTGGTCCTGAGTGTGGACCTCTCACGAATGTCTTGGTGCCATCCAAGTGAGTTCTTGCTCGCTCTCTTTTTTTTCTTTTAGAGATGTAGTTTCACTCTTGCTGCCCAGGTTGGAGTGTAGTGGTGCGATCTTGGCTCACTGCAACTTCCACCTCACGGGTTCAACCCATTCTCCTGTGTCAGCCTCCAGAGTAGCTGGGATTACAGGTGCCCAACACTATGCCCAGCTAATTTTTGGTATTTTTAGTAGAGACGGGGTTTCAGCATGTTGGCCAGGCTGGTCTCAAACTCCTGACCTCAGATGATCCGCCTGCCTCGGCCTCCCAAAGTGCTGGGATTACAGGCGTGAGCCACCGTGCCCACCTAGTTCTAGCTCTCTTAATTCCCACAAGAGCTGGTTGTTAACAAGAGCCTGGCACAAACCCCTCTCTCTCGCCACATGATCTCTGCACATGCCAGCTTCCCTTCCCCTTCTGCCATGAGTGGAAACAGCCTAAAGCCCTCACCAGAAGCAAATGGTGGCACCATGCTTCTTGCACACCTTCAGAACTGTGAACCAAATAAACCTCTCTTCTTTAAAATTACTCAGCCTCTGGTATTCCTTTATAACAACACACACACACACACACACACACATGCGCGCGCGCGCAAAAGCAGACTAAAACAGGAACTAATTAGAAATGGTGACGCACCGAGGGATTGGCACCGAGGCTCCCCAACAGGAACTGAGGCCATGGATAGAAGGACACATTCATGTTATTTTTTTCTAATGGTTAAGTAATTATTTGCTCTTACTCTCAAAATTTCTGCCAAGGCCTCCCATGGACCAAACTCAACTAGAATCTAGGAAGCAGAGAACCTGAGTGTTGCATTCAGCAGAAGTCAGCTTCCTAGGGAATCTTGCAGGAAGGGTGAAGGTAGAGAATCTGGTGGGGAAGCAAGCAAATGCCCATCACATGCACTTTCCTCCAACAGAGCGACTCAGATGCTATAAAACTTGCTAACTCAATCTCAGTGTCTGATGACAGTAACATACAATCCAGGTTTTAATCATCAGAAATCACAGTCCTATTGTCTTCTGCACAGACCCAAACACACTTGGAGGTCATGTTCAATATGAATACCTCACAGAGAAGGAAATTTACACACGAGAAGTACATCTGCAGAAAGCCAGCTGGCATGTCAACCATTCAAAAACTCAGCGTGTTCGGGATAAAGAAGACTCAGGAAGACAAGTATGAAGCATAATCTGTGACATTCCATGCGGCAGACATTAGACACATACAAGAGAGTTGTTGGAAAGCGGAATTTATCTTCATATAAACAACACTGAGCTAAATCTCAATATTTCAGATCTCTAGAACTATCCATCAGTGAAATGGATTGCAAATAGAAAGAGTAATACCATGTCACTTAAGAATACAATCATGGACGAGGCTGCCACCTGCTGTTGGGGGCCACTGCAGAAGAAATTCCAGAACACTGGACTGGAGAGCACCTCACTTTCCTTACAGCTCTAAGTTTCTGACTCAGTGACCTGATTCAGTACCATATACACAAAGACCCACTTACACAAATGACTGTTCTTCACACTAGGCCCATGGAGACAGGGATAAAATTCTGACTTTGTTCAGATACCTTCTCCGCTACTGACATCTAGGCATTACACAATTCATCTCTTCATACTTAACCTTTGAAGTTTGCTACTTCTCAGAGAGACTAATGAGTAGTGAGCAAACATCCTGAAGCTGAGAATGCTTCTACCTCCTCTCAAAACAACAGAATATTCATCAAAACACAGCAGTTCTGCACTTAACTTTAGGCCTTTTCTAACACCTCGTTTCTTGGCAGTAACTGTGGCCAGAATAGCTCTTTCCACAGAGAAAGGACCTTTTGAAAGGATAGGGTCTCTAGATAGAAAAGCAAATGCCTCATTCCAGAAGGTCTTCAAGAAGAAAATGTTGTGGTGATAACTAACTGATTATAATCTATTCTGTGAAAAAAGCTTATGAAAGAGTAGATGTGTGTATCTAGTACATAAGAGCTGAAGGTCAATATATATATATAGATATATACACACACTCAAATAAATAATAGTTATCTCTAACTAGAGAAATTCTAGTTGCCTTATATTTTCTTCTTTTCCTTACTATATTTTCTACAATAAACATGTGTTTTTAACAAGAAAAGTCTTTTCTGGTGTGCTTTTTAATTTTCTTTGTTTAAGTGAGAGTGAGGCTACATAACTACATGGCTAGGTAGACTTTTAGAAAACTTGGCTGCTCTAGAAAATTGACATATCCTGATTTCTTCCATAGCTTGGATCTTGACCTGGAGGGAAATATAAAAATGTTGACTTGAACCTGAGGGGTGCCATTTTCACTGCTGAAGTAGTTTCATGGATCATGAATTGGAGAAATGACTTCAGCAACACGGGTGTTAAAAACAGAAAGCACAAGTGACCTACAACAGATGATGGAGAACAAAGAGCAAGCTGGGAGAAGCAGTGGCCTTTAATACAGAAAAGAAGAAGTATAGCCACAATAAATATTAGGCAGACAGCAGTTCAGCAGTTTATACTATTAAGCTGTTGTTTAGGGGAATGGTAAACCGACATGACCCTTGAGGTAGGTATATATAGGTAAATTCTATGTGTCCCTTGAAATAGGTGTATGACACAACTTCTGGCGTCTACATGGATTTGGTCACTCTAAAGTAGCCATGAGGCTTAAGATAGTTCAGCTGTTTGGGGATAAGCGAAATAATTTGCAGTTGTCTTTCTGCAATTTGCGTATCCTACAGTTATCTTGTCATTACTGAATGGCACAGAGAAAAATTCTGGTCTGAAGTGGTTCTCAAACCTGGTTGCTGGAGGGCCACCCTCAGTGATGATGATTTAATCTGTAGAAGAGTAGAACATTGATAGTTTTTATATATCTCCAGGTAATTTTAATGTATAACTGGGGTGAGAATCATTGACCTAATTGTAAGAGGATAATATTCAAGAAATGTGGAGATAAATAATTTTCTTCTTGACATTAAAAAAATCTAATAAAAAGTTTTATCTTTTCCCCTAACTCAGTGTCATCAGCCTTCAAGCTTCAGTCTCTGTGTGTTCACAGGTGCTGCAAACACACGCATCACTACTAATATCCCACTTCAGTGCTATTGCTGCTCCCAAAACTCCAGGTATTTTTAACCTTATAAACCTCCAGAATAATGAGACCACTGGGTTCAGTAAATTGCTTTGTTTTGAAGCAGTGTTAGACAAAGTGGGAGACTAGAAGATAAATCTGTCAATGACATGTCCTTTAAGACTACTTAGATTTTGTTGAATTTGTGGATCATTCCTTACTTGAGCAAATGGTAAATTAACTTTCTCTTTTCTCTCTCTCTCTAGCTGGCACACTTTTTCCAGTAGCCATTCTACTTGGTATGCTTACTTATCAGCTGTCCTCCAGGGGCCTCACATTAGATGTTTCTCTTGACTAACCAAACATGACACACAGCTGAAGTCAGAAAAACCAGATTGATAATTTCACTCAAACTATTTTCCTTCATTCTAACAATTTACTGGAATACACAATTGTGACTATTTTTAGCCATAGGAACTCATAGAAAGACCAACTTCATTAGACCTACAAAATCGAATTGTGTAACAGTATATGCAGTATGTGTAGGAATAAAAAGCATTTCTCAAATATGCAGTACTGGATTTTGCAAAAGCACCTTACACTTTGCTATAAAGGAGTGGAAAACACAAAGATGAGTAACTGCACCTTTCAAAAGACTAGAGCTATACCAGTAATACAAAGGTGGAAACAAATAATGATGAGATGACAAAGGCTGAGTGTTTTCTATTTGGAAGCTATGTTGTTGAATTATTTATGTATATAATTTCATGCAATCTTCATGTTATGGGGGTGTTCTAATCCACTGTGACTCTGTCCTTAAATAAAAGGGAGATTTGGGCATAGAGACAGGCACACAGGGAGGATGCCATATGAGAATTGACACTGTGCTGTCACAAGCCAAGGAACTACTGGAAGGAGAGAAAGAGGACTGGAACAGTTCCTTCCTTAGCACCTTTTCAGGCAGCCTAGCCCTGCCAGCTTCTTGATCTGGACTTCTCACCTCTAGAATTGTGAGGCAATAAATTTCTGTTGCTTAAGTTACCCAGTTTGTGGTACTTTATTACAGGAGCCCTAGGAAAATAATTCATTATATAATCCGCTAAGGTAGATATGATCATTGTCTCCAATTTCCATATGAAGAAACTATGCCTCAGGCATTGTGTCAGTTGTCCAAAATCATACATTCCTGACTCACTTCAATGAATTTTTCATTCAGCAAAATTTTTAAGGTACCTTAAAAAATTATGTTAACTCTTAGGTCCTTGCTTTAAAGCTTCAATGGGCTTTTCCTTTGCAAAGAATAAAATCCTAATACTTAAGCATAGCTCTCTTTCCTGGCTATGTTTCTGACATCCTCTTGTACCATGCTCCTCCTTAATCATTCTGAGGTTACATCTTAAGTCTTTTCCCCTTGCCATTCCCACTTCTTGGAATACTTTCCCGTCAACTCTTCAAAGAACTGGCTTCTTTAAGTATTTGGTCTCAGTTCAAATGTCACTTCCCTGTAAAAGCTTCCTGGCCATCAAGCCTTCTTTACACACTCTATTTTATTTTTTCATGGTTCCTACAACAACCTAATATATTCTCAATTGATTAACTGTTTTGCTGACTACTGCCTTCCACAAGAATGGAAAGAAAATGTGGCCAGGTGCAGCGGCTCACACCTGTAATCCCACCACTTCAGGAGGCTGAGGCAACATGGCAAAACCTTCTCTTCAAAAAATTTTTTAAAAGTTAGCTGGATGTTGTGGAGGCAAGAGGATCACTTGAGGGTCACTTGAGTCCATGAGGTCAAGGCTGCAGCGAGTCATGTTTGCACCACTGCACTCTAGCCTAGGTGACAGAGCTAGTCCCTATCAAAAAAAAAAAAAAAAAAAAAGAATGGAGAGAATGCTACATGAGAGAAAGGATCTTATTTATCATGTTCACCTCCCAAGAGGTGAACATATCCCCCAAATCCTGATAGAGAGAAGATGCTCATTAATATTTAATGCATGACCATGTGCAGACTTGGGAGGAAAAATATGCCTCAGCCTATCAAAATTGGATCCTTAATAAACAAGGATGCTTCTCCATCATTTCCCCACAACACCAAACAAGTGTGGCTCACTGTGGATGTTTAAGCAAATGCATTGTTTTTCCAGTTATATATCTGGTAGAGATGAGGTCATTGATAGGAATGGGAAGACGATCTCCTTTTCTTGTGATGACCCAGCATGGCTGAACACTCAGTGACTACCACTGCACTTTGTTGTACTTTCAGCATTAGAGATGCCAGCCCTGTAGGATATAAAACAGGAACATCTAGTCCTCAATTATATTCCCACTTTAGATACTGACAGCAAAGGGTTTGTCACAATGACAACTATACACTCCCAATATCACAGAAGAAGGAGGAATAAAAGGGTATATTATGAGTGACTGAAGTTTAGAATAAATCAATAAATATTATGTCCCTCATCCATAGAAACCACAAAGGTCTAGTAATGCTAAGGATATAACAAGAAAATAATATGAATATTTGCTTCCCCTTCCTAGTGTAATAGAGTAAGTTACAAATGGCTTCAGGAAGGGGAGAGAGGAAGAAGAGTGGATGAGATACGTAAGAGTGCCTGAGGGCTAATTTTATGAAAGCTTTGGGAAGTTTTAAGAAAAAGAAAAGCTATTTTTCAAGGTACATGCGTGTACGCATGCGTGTGTGTGTGTGTGTGTGTGTGTGTGTGTGTGTGTGAAAGACAGAAGAAAGAGGGAGACCTAGGAAGACTATGAGACACTAAGAGAAAAATTAAGGTAAAAAAGACGCACACTTAGAAAAACACACATAGGGAGGAGGGAGGAGGTTAAGACATTTTACTATGTGCTGTGAATGGAAACTACAAACCATTTCTGATATATGCAATATATATACATATATACACACATATACATATGTATTTAAAGATTTAAATTACATTTTCTCTTTTTTTAGAGATGTGGTTTCACTATGTCACTCTGCCCAGGCTGCAGTACAGTGGTTGTTCACAGTCATGATCATAGCACATTATAGTCTTGAACTCCTGGGCTCAAGCAATCCTCCTGTATTAGTCTCCCCAGTAGTTGGGATTACTAGCATATGCCACCATGTCCACCCTTATGCTTTTTAAAGTGAAAAACCATACTAAGAATGAGGCAGCTCAACTTAGTAATAAAAACATTTCGAATGTAAAGAAATTTACAAAAGAAAAACAATCAACCCCATTAAAATTGGGCAAAGGGAATGAACAGACAGTTTTCAAAAGAATACATGCATGCAGCCAACAAACATACAAAAAAAAAGTTCAACATCACTGATCATTAGAGAAATGCAAATCAAAACCATAATGAGATACCATCTCACACCAGTCAGAATAGCTATCATTAAAAAGTCAAAAAATAACAGATGCTAGTGAGGCTATGGAGAAAAGGGAATGCTTATACACTGTTGGTGGGTGTGCAAATCAGTTCAATCATTGTGCAAAGAATAGTGATTCCTCAAAGAGCTAAAAGCAGAGCTACCATTCGACCCAGTAATCCCACTACTGGGTATATACCCAGATGAATATAAACCATTCTACCATAAAGACACATGCATACAAATGTTCATTGCAGCACTGTTCACAATAGCAAAAGTATAGGATCAACCTAAGTGCCCATCAATGACAGATTGGATAAAGAGAATGTGGTACATATACACCATGGAATACTATGCCGCCACTAAAAAATGATATCATGTCTTTTGCTGGAATATGGATGGACCTTCTATTATCCTTAGCAAACTAATGCAGGAACAGAAAACCAAATACAGCATACTCTCAGTTATAAGTGGGAGCTAAATGATGAGAACTCATGAACACAAAGAATAAAACAGACACTGGGGTCTACTTGAGGGTGGAGGGTGAGAAAAGGAAGAGAAGCAGAAAAGATAACTATTGGGTACTAGGTTTAATACCTGGGTGATGAAATAATCTGTACAATAACCCCCTGTGACACCAGTTTACCTATGTAACAAATGCCCCTAAACTTAAAATAAAAGTTAAAAAAAAAAAGAAAATTAAAATCTCCTTATCCTCTACCTGGTAATATGAAAAACACATATCTTTCATTCATTCCTTTCAACTGATGAGGAAACTGAGGCAACGGGAGTTAGTAAAAGTCCACATTGAGATATGAGACCCACCACTGGCTGGACGCAGTGGCTCACACCTGTAATCCCAGCACTTTGGGAGGCCGATGCTGGTGGATCACCTAAGGTCAGGAGTTCGGGACCAGGCTGGCCAACATGGTGAAACCCCCATCTCTACTAAAAATACAAAAATTAGCTGGGTGTGGTGGCAGGCACCTGTAATACCAGCTACTAGGGAGGCTGAGGCAGGAGAATCGCTTGAACCCAGGAGGTGGAGTTCACAGTGAGCCAAAATCACGCCATTGCACTCCAGCCTGGGCAACAAGAGCAAGACTCTGTCGGGGAAAACAAAACAAAACAACAACAACAAAAAAAACACCACCATCATTTTGCAAGTGTTACCACTATTGTGTGTTAATATTGTAGAAGTATTCCTAATTATGATTTCTTTGTATTCCTAATTGTAATAGCTTTGTATTTGAAAAATTATTGATTCATACTCTATATGTTATTATTTTGTATGTGATGACAACAGAATATATTATCATGCTCCTTTTGTGAATCTCATTCATAATATAAAGTATAAATTTGTGATTTTGCTTTAATTTGAAATATTAATTTCAAATATGTTATCACAATTTGATACAAACTATTGACAGTAAATCTGTGGATTAAGTAATGTCTTAGTAGGTATTGGGAAAATTTGAAACTAGTAACATGGAGGACTATTGTCATTGTTTATTTCAAAGCCAGTTAAAATTCTGCAAAGCAGTGTAAATAAAAATAATTTCAAGAAATTTATAAAATACTGAGATTATGGTGTATAAACAACTTTAGATTCTTTGTTTAAGAAATTCTGCCAGTTTGTAATACATGCTTCATTCAAAGTAGCTAAGGGCTGTACCTGGCTAATAGTAGGCACGTAATATTTGTTGAAAAGGAATACTGAGTAGCTGGGACCTCCTGAGTAGCTGGGACCACACACATTTAACCTGTATTTATAAAATTACTGTTTAGAGAATAACATTTGATGGAATCATGCTTTTACTTTCTGCTTATGACTCAATTGTTTGTACTGACATTAACATCCCAAATCCTTAGCATGGCCTACAAGGCCCTGAGCAATGTGGCACCTGCTGAAGCCTGCTGCCTCATTTAATAACTCTTTGTCTCTTTCCCAGATCCAGCCACTCTAACATTTTTTAGTTCCTGGACCAAGACAAGCTCTTCCCAGAACCTGACCTTTGTACCTGTTCTTTATTCCTGGAGTATTTTTCCCCTGACAAATTACTTATCATCTATCATAAATCAGGTTAAATGGCACTAACTCAGGGAAGGCTTCCCTAACTGCCTCCCTTCTCCAACCAAATTAGGAACAATTATATGGCCACATAGTATCGAATCAAGTTTATAATTTTAAAATAATTGGGAGATTTTGTTGTTTAACACTTGTTTTCACTATAAGACTGTAATTACATGCAAGTAAGAACCATGCCTGTTTGTTCACTCCTGCCACAGTCAGAATAGTGCCTGGAATATGCAGTAAGGGCTGAACAAACACTAAATAAATGAACAAGTGAATAAATGGATATTGTCTCGTTTTTAGAACAGAGTACTAAATGGATCATGAACACTATCTGGTATGTCACGTAGGTAATTTACAAGGGCTACAATTTCAGCTCAGATTTACCTTTTCCTGGATACAGGTCTTGATAGGTCTCTTGATGTCATTTCACTTCAGATTCTTCTTTAGAAAACTTGGACAATAGCATTTGCTGTCTTGTCCAAATTGTTACTAAGAATCAAGAGAGATATCTGACATGAAATGACATTGGAAAACATTAAACACGATTGAAATAATGCTAGCCAATATGGTTATTATTAGAAACCAATTACATTTTCAACTTAAAAATAGTAATACTTATTGCAGACTCAAATGTGCTTATTCTAAAACAAGTAAATGTTTGCCTATGGTCTGAGATTCTAATCCACGGAGTTCATTCTAATCCACATTCAACACTATCATGTACCAGTGGGCCTCATGACCCACCTAGCCCTGTGATTTTTCAGGTTCACTTTTCTAAACTTGTGAATTAAATACTTATTTTCTTAGTTCAGAAGAGGAAAAAAACTCTTGTAATTGTTGCCCATTTCAGGAGAAATCTTGCATATGAAAACAAGAGATAAATATACACAACCGACGGCTGTGGTTTAAACAAAATCTTGAGAATGTTTTTTGACCTTATACATTTGTGCTTTAGTATAACAAAATGATATAAACAAAGGTAACTTTTAATAGAACCAGTCACTAAATTAAAAAAATGACAAATTCTTCTGCTTAGCTAAGCAACAGAGAAGGTAAAATACTAATTCAATTCATCAATTTAAGCAATACTCATTAAGAGCCAAGTATGTGCTTACTGAATAAGCTGCTAAGGTTTGGTGGTTACAGAGTGTGCGGTGAAATGATGTCTACATCACAGTCCAACATTCACAGAGTTTAAAAGCCTACCAAGAATCAAGACAGACACAAATACCTAACATAGACGTTTGTATGTGATAAGAGAGCCAGAGTACAATTTAGGAGAAGAAAATTTTATGGAAGGAAGCTTCATTTCCATTAGACCAGAAAAGACAGCACATTTGAAGGCCTGAATAAGAAATATTCTGGATAAGATATTGTGGCTGCTACCAGAATGGCTCTTGATGATCTCTACCTCTTGGTATTTATACCCTTATATAATCTCTTTCCTATAGTATAAGCTGGTCCCAGGTATTTGTTTCTATTGAATAGAATAGAACAAAAGTAATGAGATGCCACTTCTGAGATTAGATTATAAGATACTGTGAATTTCATCTTGTGCCCTCTCCCTCTCTTTCTCTTGCCCTCTCATTTGAATGAAGCCAACTGGCATGCTGTCAGTGGCCCAGTGTAAGTCCTGTTACAAGAAATTGATGATTACCTGTAGCCAACCCTAAGTGAAGAACTGAGGTCCTCAGTCCTACAAATGGAGAGAAATTGAATCTAGCTAAGAACCATGTGAGTGAGCTGGGAAGAAGATCCACCCTCAGTTGAAATTTAAGATGACATATTGAGCAGACATACTGAGACACACTGAAAGTAAGAGAGCAGGAGGAAACAAAACCAGGGTCATACAAAGAACACAACTGATTTTGAGATTCTCACATAAGTATTACACCTTCAGTGAGCACGTGTACTAGAAATTAAAAAAATAAATTAAATAAACCTTCAAAAAGAGCTAGCAAATAAATTTCCCTATGGTCTCAGCTCTGAGTGGAGAGAGAAAATGTTCCCTGTGGAGTTTATAGCCAGAATCCAGCTCTCAAACAGGTTTCAGCCTGAACTCACACAATCTGTGTGGCTTCCAAATTTGCAAGCTGAGAATTTAATTCAAAGTGGTCTCAGGTTGATAGCAGTCCAAAATGCTAGGTAGGAAAAAAAATCCTCTCTGGACAAATAAATCATCAAAGCAAGCTCATAAGAGCAGGTTTCAAAGGTCATGAGCTTCTAACACACACACAAAAATCACACACACAAAATGGGGGTAGCAGCAACATGGGTAGCATATTCAAACTTGAAAAGACTTTAAATATTTGTATTATTAGATGTAGATTATGAAACACATATTTTAATGTGGTTAATTTTTTTAAGGAATCAAAACTATGAGTAAAGACCAAGAAAATTGTGCTGGATGGCCACTTCCACCATGGCTCCCCTCCTATTTAAGTTTGGGTACTGTGTCACCCGAAGTCTTCAGGCACATTGTTCCAGGTTTGGGTTTGCCTATGAAAGAAACTCATGAGAGCTGGAAGTGAGGAGTGAAGAGGAGGTCTTCACATAAAGCAGGCTTAAGGATTAGACATAGCAGGTTTGACAGATGTGATGGCTCGCAGAATTCTTTATGAGCTCCCACTGTCCATCTGGATAAGATTTACAGACCTTTCAGAAATTCCTATAAGCTTGGGTTCTGTGCCCACACTCTAGACTGTCAGGCTAAGATCTCTGATATAAAACAGACCTCTTCTGATTTTGTCTAGCTGCTTTTCTAATATCTATTCACCAAGCTCTTCCAATAATAGCATAAGGCCCTAACTAATATTAAACTTTTATCATTATAATACATAGGATGTCTTCTGTTTTCCTGATCAAATTCTGACTACTATTAAAATATAAAGAATTGTCCAGAAATATATAAAAAAAAGAATCACACATTGATCTTCTTTAAATGAAAATATAACAATTGTATGGACTAGGATGATTACAGTTGTTCAGTTCTGACTGTTATTTGAAGAAAAAAGCAATAAGAAGCCTCAGCAACTTAACAGAAGGAGCTGCCATTTACTAGGAGAAAAGATTGTGGATGAGAGTGTAGCAAAGGTCAGAATTCTGTGAAGCTTGAGATGTCTATTATAATGAATTATCTTTTATACTCACTACAATTTCCTAACAATTTTGGGGTTTATATTTTTGAAAGAGATATACCTTTAATTTTCTTTCTTTGTACTATTGTTAGGTAACTTTAATGTGCAGATTATACTACAGTGAAAGTTGCCAATGACAAGGCAAAGTCACTTACATCAGACCCAAAGCAAAGTGGAGCCGGGTCGTGAAAAAGGGGATCTTGTGTGTGTGTCCACGATAAGCACTATCACAAGGACTTTCTATAAACTCACAAGAAATTTCTGCCCACCCAGCACACTCTGTTTGTCCAGCTCATCCTGTAGGTGTCTCTATAATAGGACCTATCATAAAAAATTCCTCAAGACTGCAGCATTTCAGATAAGCCACCCTCACAAGAACACTGGCCTAGCAATGGCTGTTTCTGCCAGTAAGTTAACACCAGCTCCTGCATCAGGCCCTGTGACCAATGATGTTTGTTTCAAAACAGCTTGCATAGACTTCTTTTTGTCTTTAAATATTTTCCTTACCTCAACCTCTTGGGATGCACCTATGATTCATCATAGCACAAATATCTCAGATTATAATCCTTGTTTATTTCTAAATAAATTTATTTCTTTGGAGATCCACTTTTTTGTTATTATACATTGACATTGTTATCATGAAATTGGTTGGGTGATGTGTCTTATTTTCTTGTCTCCAGAAGAATTTCTGTAACAGTGCAATTAAACATTCTTTGCCTGTTTGCTAGAACTCACCTGTAAAATTGTCTGAGCAACCAAAGCCTGGTTTTTGTGTTTAGTTTTTCTTTTGTGATTGGGGAGGGGGGTTTATCGTACTGATTCAAGGTGTGAAGGTAACATCATTTTGATTTTATACATCTTCTTCAGTCCATTTAAGCATGTTACATAGCGTTGTTTGTTCTTTTCATGATATTCTTTACAGTAGTCTCCTAAATGTTCCCTCTGCTTCTGCCATGAGCCCCTACAATCTATTTCAACTCAGAAGCTATAGAGTTTGTTTAAAACATGTAACATATTATGCCACCTTTCTTACTGTAAAACATCCATGGTTTCTCGTAGTATTTATAGTAAAAGTGAAATTTTTATGATGGCTTGAGAAACTTTTCCCATTTAGATGCCCAAGTGCTGGTCTGGTCTGATCTTCTCATCTTCCCTTGGGTGATTCTGTGGCAGTCACACTAGCCTCCTTGCTGCTCCACAAAAACTCCAGCATGATCCTACTTCAGGATATTTTCCATTGTTACTGCATCTGCCTGGAACCTTTTCTCCCATATAAACATAGAGATTGCTCTTGCCTGTCCTTCAAGTCTATTCTTAAATGTCCCATTCTCTGTGAAGCTTTCCTGCCCACCCTATTTAACTTACAGACTTCACTCCCAATTCCCCATCTACTTTAAGAGTCTTCATTTATCATTCCTTGACAAACTGTAAATATACATGTTCACTTTTTTATCGTCTGTCTCCAAATACTGGAATGTTAAGTTCTGTAATGTCAGATATTTCTGTTTGGTTCACTGGCGTATTCTTAAAGCATGTTACATACTAGGTATACTCAATGAATATTTGTTGAATAAATATCACATTGGGCTTATTCCAGAAATTCAAGCTTGTTTCAATAGTTAGAGCAATCTACAAATGTAATTCATTACATTAACTAAAGGAGCTAAATCACATCACCACCACAATAACGCAGAAAAACACATTTGATACAACTCAATATTCATGTCTGCCTAACAAACATCTCATGATACTAGGAAAAGAGGAAGGGATATATTATTTTCATGTATAAAACACTAACCATTGTAGCATGCCAATATACTCAAAAATCAATGAAATTCCTATCAAAATCTTAGCATTCCTCTTAGTCCTCAACAAAGCATTTCTAAAATGTGTACAGAAGACCAAAGGGCCAAAAGAGTCAACTTCTGAAGAAGTGGAAAAAGAAAGTTGAGGAAATCTTAAAACATGTTATTGAGCTTAAAGTTGCAAAAATAAACTCATGTACCATAATTCATGAGTAGAAAAATAGACTAGTGGAATAACATAAAAATAAAAACAATGCTTACATAAAATGTTGTACCTGATTTGGATGTCATTAGAAATCAGTAAGTAAATAGATGGACAATGTAATGAAAGATGCTAGGCAAATAATGTGGTAGGGAGAATAATGGCCCTCAAAGATGCCCATGCCTAACCCTGGAACCTGTGAATATGTTACACTGAATGCAATAAAGGCTCATCAGATGTGATTAAGGATGCAAACCGAGATGGAGAGATCTTCCTGGGTTATCCAGATGGGCCCAGTCTAATCACATGAATTCTTAAAAATGGAGAACCTTTCTTAGCTGAGTCCAGAGAGAGATGTGACAATGAAAGAATGGTCAGAGAAATGTGACATTGCCAGCTTTAAAAAGAGAGAGGAGAGGCAATGAGAAAAGGAATGCTGATGTTCTCTAGAAGATAGAAAAGGCCAGGATATGGATTCTACCCTAGCCGCCATAAAGAAACATGCCTGTCGACAACTTGATTTTAGTTCACTAAAATTCATGCCTGATTTCTGACTTGTGTACACTGTAAGATGACAAGTTTGTGTTATTTTAGGTCACTTAGTTTGTAGAAATTTGTTACAGCAGTAATAGAACAAGCGGTTATCCATATGAGGCAAATTAGATTGGATACCTATCTCCAATAGAAATCAATTCAAGGTGAATTCCAGGAAAATACTTAAAACATTTAGATTAAAAATAAATGAGAATTTTTGTTACTTTTGGTAGGTCATAGAACCAAGAAAAACAAACATTAAGGAGTAAAAATGAACATATGACTACATCAAAATATAAAGCTTCTCTATTTGGATGATATCATAAGGTGACAAATCATAAACTGTAATATTTGCAACATATATATGAGTGAATAAATATACACTTAGAATATATATGAACCCCCAAAAATCAACAGGAAAAATAACACATAGAACAAGCAAAATGCATAAACAAAAGAAGGCAAAACAAAAATAATGACTCATAATTATATGAAAAGAAGCTCATCTTCATAGATGAGCAGATAAATGCAAATTAAAACCACCCTGAGATGCTTTTTACATCCATGAGCCTGATAAAAGTTAGAGTCTAAAAGTAATAATTAACAAAGATGGGAAGTAACAGAAAATCTTGTCCATTACTGGTTAAAGTATAAACTGATACAGCTACTTTATAGAATATTACATTATAGAATAAAGTTGTGAGTATGTATATGCAGTGACTCAGCATCTTCATTGCTAGTATGTACTCAAGAGAAACTTACAGGAGTGGACTAGGAAGTAAATACAAAATGATTACAACATTGTTTGTTATATCAAAAAATAAAAAAGACACCCAATTTTCCAGCAAAAAAAATAAGTAAAAATAAATCCTGGTGTATTCTAACAATGGAATAATATATAGCAATTAAAATAAATCAACTATTACTGTACATATGAATGTAAGTATCAGCAAAACATATTGTTTAGTGAAAAAGAAGCTGAAGAAGAATATATACAATATGGTTACGTTTATATGAAGTCCAAAAACTTGCAAAATAAAGAAATGTATTTAGAAATAGATTCACATGTGAGAAAACTAGAAGAAAATTAATGAAAGGATAAAAGGGATAGCAGTAATTCTGAGTAGTTGAGGGGATTTCAATTGGAAAAAAATAGTATCATATTCTTTAAGTCAGGTAGTGGGTATTAGCATTTGTTTTACCATCGTTCTTTATTCTTATAGCTACACTATATATTTTCAATGTATTTAATGTATTTTTTGCATAATTAAATATTATGCAATAAAAATGAGAAAACAAAAAAGTAGAAAATGATAAATTACAATAAATGGAGAAAAAATTATAATCTAGTTGAGTAATGGTATATTACATAGCTATTTTCTTAAGTAGATGTATGTACATGATGTATGCACGATTGTACATACATGTTCTTAATTATATATAAATATATATGTACATATTTTTAATATAAAATACTAAACAAAGTACACCAAAATATTAGCTCCTATGTTAGTGAGATAATGTTTTGTTTTTTTGTATTTTAAGTTTTACATAGTAGGTGTATTTGTCTGTTTTCATACTGCTATAAAGAACTGCCCAAGACTGGGTAATTTATAAAGGAAAGAAGTTTAATTGGCTCACAGTTCAGCACAGCTTGGGAGGCCTCAGGAAATCTACAATCATGGCGGAAGACAAAGAGAAGCAAGCCAGCTTCTTCGCAAGGCAGCATGAAGAAGTGCCGAGCAAAGGGGAAAGAATCCCTTATAAAACCATCAAATCTCGTGAGAACTCACTATCACAAGAACAGCACAGGGGAAACTGCCCCCATGATTCAATTACCTCCACCTGGTCTCTCCCTTGACCTGTGGGGATTATGGGGGCTATGGGGATTACAATTCAAGATGAGATTCAGGTGGGGATACAAAGCCTAACCATATCAGTAGGCATGTGTTGAATTTTAAACTCAGAGAAAAATACTAGTGTTTTTATAGGATTCTTACTAAAGAAAAACCAGAAAGTAATAAACCATCTACGCTAAGACATAAAATTCAGTTGTTTAGTTACAAGATAGAATGTGGCCTTGTAAGAAGGCAAAATTAACTTCTAACATACAAAGCCTTAGAGAAGATTCAAGTGACTGACGGATCTTAAACAGAGCTATTATTACAACTCAAACTGCAGTAAAATATCCTCAGCAACATAGATGTGTGTGTTTCACTAGTCAGAGCAATACAAATTTAATGCAACTCCATTGGTGGTGTTTTTAATCAGACAATTTCTGAAGATGTCCTGGCTTATTCATAGATGCAAGCCAAATCTCTAGAAGAGTACCATAATAAGAAAAAAAAGAATACAGGCAATTGAGAGCTGTTCCAAAGTTCAGGGAGTTTTTGTAAGGAATTAATAAATAAAAATGTTCTTGAAAGAGAGAAATTAATATGCAGTTCATACTGCCAGAATTGCAGGCAATTTATCAAACTCCCCTAATCCTCCAAAATCGCTACTTTTTTTTGACACACACTTTACAGTACAGAAGAAAATGTCTCTGGCAATAAATCACAAAGTTAAAATTACCTAGTCTACAATTAACTAGACAGTGATGGTAAATCATTTTCTACCAAAAGAAAGAAATGTCTTGTCTATTCAGGTTCTGCTCTACTTAAAAGTCTTCCTTGTTGGCGAGCAAGTGGTTAGAAAATCATATTTTATACGTACATTCAGCTTAACTATCATTCAGCTCAGGAAGATGACTCAGGGCCTTATCCATACCTTCAAGTTTGCTCTTAGCAAGTAATTGTTTCAGTATCTATATCAAAAATGGCTTAAGTCTGCAACATGTTTCTGAATGATTAACAAGGTGATAGTCAGTTCTTCATTGAATCCTGGATGCTTTATTTTTCTTAATAAGAGGAATTCATATGGATCAGCTAGAAAAAAATTAAGAGGAAAATCACATGGAAAGTTATATATTATATATCTATTATATATATAATATTATATATCTATTATATATATAATATTATATATCTATTATATATATAATATTATATATCTATTATATATATATTATATATCTATTATATATTATATATCTATTGTACATATATTATATATCTATTATATAATATTATAGATCTATTATATATATAACATTGTATATCTATTACATATATATTATATCTTATATCTTATATATTATATATCCATTATATATATAATATTATATATTATATATCATTTCCAAATTCCCCAGCGTTCAATATTTGTCAGTGCAAGTAAAGAGCCTTAGTGCTGATGAGGTTTGAGGTATGACCATTTGGCCAGAATTTATGAACTCTACATGTCGCTTGATGTGTGCTTCAGGGTACACTTTTTTTTTTTTTTTTTTGAGACGGAGTCTTGCTCTGTCGCCCAGGCTGGAGTGCAGCGGTGCGATCTCAGCTCACCGCAAGCTCCGTCTCCCGGGTTCACGCCATTCTCCTGCCTGAGCCTCCTGAGTAGCTGGGACTACAGGCGCCCGCCACTATGCCCTGCTAATTTTTTGTATTTTTAGTACAGACGGGGTTTCACCATGTTAGCCAGGATGGTCTCGATCTCCTGACCTCGTGATCCACCCGCCTCGGCCTCCCAAAGTGCTGGAATTACAGGTGTGAGCCACCACGCCCGGCCAGGGTACACTTTTAAGCAGAGACACTACTTTGAAGGTCATAAAAAATATAATAAGAGATAAGGCTAATTTCCTTTAATAATAATAATAAAATCCTTTAATAAAAATATAAAGGAATAATATAATAATTTTCTTTATTAAAATATAATAAGAGATAAGGCTAATTTCCTTTAATAAAATACAGTAACTACATACCAACAGAACTCCAAAAAAAGAAATGGAGAGGAAGGGAGCATGGGTCATTAATCTTGTCAAAAATATAAAATTATATACGAGGAATTCCTAGAAACTGTTTTCCTTGTCTGCGGCCATTGTGCTGCTGCTACACAACTACCGCAAGCAGCCCTTCACGCCCTCCTCCCAGTACAAAGCTAATTGACTTGTGAGAAATGTTAAGCTTGGAAGAGTCAGCATCGCTGCACTTATTTTTTATTCTACTCTGACATTAGAATAATCCTTGAGTGGGGGAAAGGTTAAAAACCCCCCTGGATAAGTGTTACTAATTAATGATGATTGTTTTAAACAATGTTTGGATAATTTTTCCTTGTCCCTTGACATAAACTTGATAAATAACTGAGAAGTGAGAAGGAGATTAGTGGGTTGATTAAATTCCATTCAGGTACTTAAAGTTAGCTCCAAAAATTTAGCTATTTATAAATTGTCATGCATTGTTAATGTATAAGAGATGTAGATTTCATTTATCTTTGGTGGAGCGAGATGAAGCAGTGAATCATTGAGGACTGAAAGAAAGAAAAAGGTCTTTTCCCTTTTCTTTAAGAAGCATCATTAGTTAAAAACATGTTAGTTGATACCAGAGAACTATATTTAAAGGGACAGCAATAAGCAAATTGATTACTCTGGCGATTATTGGAGTGACATTGCCTTTTAGTTGTACTTTCACAAAAATTCACAATATTTGCCAAAGTCAAGTTATCCATTACACTATTAATTTGTCATTCTTTTGTTTATATAGTCAATATCTCTTATCTCAATTGGATCTATCTCAACTGCTTCTAAACAAGCCACCATAGTCTCTCCCATTTCAACAATCTCTTCCAAGTACCATTTCATTTCTTCTTTTCATATTTTTGAAAACTTTTGAAAAACTACCTATTTTCCTCCTCCATTTCTTGTTCATTCCATTCTAGTGGACATGGAATCTGTTCCTCCTCCAAAACGGAATTTTGTAACCCTTAAATTACTAAACCCAAAACAATACGTTGTTTTTATCTTTACCTCTCTGTGGCATTTAATGATAAGACCACTACTTTCTTCTCTTTTACCCTTCTTTCTTGAATTCAGTCAAACAACGTACTTACATTTTTCGTCTTATTCTCCATCTTAGAAACCACCTCAGCTTTCTCCATTCAGCCATAAAATTGTGCTTTTCCTCAAAGATTAATCTGCCTCTCCTCTCACTCTATACTATCTCTGTTAGCTAATTTTATTTGTGCACATTGCTTATACTGGGCATTATATACACATATGCATGTGTGTACATGTGCACACACACACTGTATGTGGACATGTATATATATATGTGTGTGTGTGTGTATATATATAGTATATATATAAATTACAATAACATAAAGGTGGCATTTTAAATTAGTGGAAATTACCCTGATTTGATCACTACACATTCTATACATGTAAAGAAATATCACTCTGTATCCCAAGAATATGTACAATTATGGTTTGCCAAATGAAAAAGTTCATACATTGAAAAATTTTAGATAAATATCAAACTTTCTCTGAAACTGTAACTGTAAAATGTAAAAAACAGTAATTGCTATATTGCTTATTTCTGAGAATATGAGACATTTCCCTGATCATTATGTGTAATTACAATTACATATATATATGTATGTAATATATAAACATATATATATGTAATTGTAATTACACATAATGATCAGGGAAATGTCTCATATTCTATATATATAGACAGAGAGAAAATATATGAGGGAGAGAAAGAATCTTTCCATCTCCTTTGAGTTCCACGGTGTTGAGAGTCAGGACAACTACAATTGCTTCATCATGCCTGCTTGCAATTATAGGGCTTTTGAACCATTTGTTCCCTCCTTAGATATCCTCATTTTTTTCAGATTCTTGCTTAGAAGTCACTCCTCCGTGGACCTCCTCTGACATATTAAACATTGCAGTCCATTATAAGCTGCAAGAGGACAGGGATTTTTGCCTGTTTTATTCCCTACTGTATCACCAGGGGCTACAGCAATATCTGACAAACAGTGGGCATGTAATGAATATTTGTTAAGTGAAGTAATAAATTCAATCAAATCGCATCACCTGTTTAAAGCACTTCATTGGCTTCACATTGCACTTAGAATAAAGAGAAATTCTTTTTATACAATATAAGTTCCTGCAGAATGCAGACACTTTCTACTTTTCCAGCCTCTTTTCAACTCCTCTCCTACTGGCTTCTGTATTTAAGCCACATTAGACCTTTCTTCAGTTTTTTGTATAGACTTTGTCGCATCACACCTCAGAGGTTCTGTACATGTTCTTCCTCCTGCCTAGAAAGAGTCGTCCCTCCACTTTCGCCAACTAATCCCTGCTCAACTTTTCATCTCAGCAGGAGGCCCATTCTCTTTGGCAATCCTCTGGCCTCCAGCCCATTTATTATATACTCACATGTCAACATGTACTTCGTACAGCATGTAACACAATTGCACTTTTATATTTTAACAAATTATGTTTCCCATATTGAACTGTAAGTCTCCTGAAAGGAGGAATTTTGTTCTTGCTCATCAACTTTTTCAACATCCAGTGCACCATTTAGAACTTAGATGTAGTCAATACAGGTTTGTGGAATGAAAGAGGAAAAGAAAGAATTAATATCCCTTTAAATTAGGATGGCAAAGATTGTATATAGAAAATTGGCTAAGTTGTGGTCCATTCATGTTTGCTCCCAATTAAGGAGCACAGCTATGAAAAGGAAGGCTTCAAATTAATAACCAATAGATTTTTAAAAAAAGAAAACTGGCCAGGTACTGTGGCTTATGTCTGTAATATCAGCATGTTGGGAGGCCAAGGCAGGATTACTTGAGCCCAGAAATTCCAGACCAGCCTGAGAATTTGGCAAAACTCTGTCTCTACAAAAAATACAAAAATTAGCCAAGTTTGGTGGCATGTGCCTGTAGTACCAGCTACTTGGGAGGCTGAGGTGGAAGAATAGCTTGAGTCTGGGAGGTCAAGGCTGCAATGAGCTGTGATCACACCACTGCACTCAAGCCTGGGTGGTAGAGTAAGAACCTGTCTCAAAAAAAAAAAAAAAGAAAAATCAGTAAGCAAAATAAGACAGTGAAGGATCATGTCAAAGGTAAGAAAAATTAGGGGAACATTAAAAGCTTTCTTCCCAAGCCACTAAATCAACTTGACTAACAAAATTACCACTTGATTTAGCATTAGAAAATTACATTACATATCAAACATAAACTCATTAATCAAATACTAAAGAAATTTCTGAGTTAAATGGTATAATGTTAGCTTATGCCAGAGCTGACCCTGAAAGATTGTTCAAATATGGCTCAGTGTGATTGAAAGTTCTGTGTGAATATGTTTTTGGAAAGATCCAACAGCAACACCTTAGTGTATGTTTTTGAAATAAAATGTATCTGAGTAGCAGCAAAGTTATTCTCAAATTTCCATTTTATAGCTGGAGATGTTATACCGTGACATATATGATAGGACCCAATATGGATTAATCCCTTTTGGAAGTCAATCAGGAAGAGGGGAGCAGTTAAAACCGTTGCTTGGTTTACAAACAGTAGAACAATTTTCTTATTCACACCATCTGATTATTGTATTTTATTTTTTCCCCAGCGTTTAGACTACACAATGAGTTAAGAATGACAAAAATAAGCTCACCAATATACTATGTACATACTTACCAAAATCTGTGCATGCTTATACATATAAACACAGCTGATAATTTATTAGTCAGGCTCATTTGTAATTTTTGTCACTATAGACCAGTTTTTTATTTAAATTGAAGATTAGTACACATTTTAAATGATTAGTCAAAATAAAAAATCTAAAATGTGCTCTAAATACCTCTTAGGTCAGAAAAAAAAAGTCAAAAGCTAGAATATAGAGAAATTAAGAAATGCCCTAAATTTCTAATCTGACAAAAATTCATATGAGATTTAAATATTTTAATGGAAAATAGAACAGAACTAATCATTGAAGAAATTATAGAAAGGAAACAAAACAGATTATATGGAGGATTTTTAGAAGATAAGTAAATAAATTAATATACTAGGAAAAAACAAGGGAAATATAATTGATAAATAAATACAGGTAAGAGTTCTTTTGAAATAATAATAAAATAGAAAATCTCTGTCAAAACTAAAAGGAAAGATGCATAAATATATAAATAAATGATAAAACGATGTTGCATACATATATGACTTTTTCAGAATCAAAAAATTTAAATTTCTGTAATAAAATTTAAATGTTTATAAATTTAAAAAACTAGAAGAAAGAATGTTGACTGTTCACAATACAAATAAATGACAAATATTTGAGGTGATGGATATGCTAATTATCCTTATTTGATCATTGGACATTGTATACATGTATCAAAATATCACTCTGTATCCCATGAATATGTACAATTATTTGTCTCAAAAACAAACAAACAAAAGATAATGGGAGAATGTTGAAAACTCAGAGAGAAGAGCAACTCTCACAGATAGGGATCCAGATAACATTAGCAGCTGATTTCTCGGCAGAAACCTTGAAGGCCAGTAGGCAGTCGATTATATATTTAAAATAATGAAGAAACCTGTCAATTGAGAAATCTATAGCTGGAAAACTTATCCTTCAAAAATGAGGGAGAAATTAAGACAATTCCGGATTTTTTTTTAAAACTGAAAAAAAATCCATTTATCCCTGAATTTGCCATTCAAGAAGTGTTAAGTCCTTCAGGTTGAAATAAATGAACTCTAGGCAATAACTATATAAGTAAATAAGCAAGCTGTATGAATATACAAAGCTCTCTGGTAAAGGTAAATACATAAACAAACATAAAAACAGTCCTATTGTAATTTTGGTTTCTAACTCTGCTTTTTATTTTCTACATAATTTAAAAGGCAAATGCATAAAATGTAACTGTAAATCTGTTAGCTGGTATACAATGAATAAAGATATAATTTGTTACATCAATAACATAAAAAGAGTAGAGCTATATGTATAGCAGTAGAATTTTGGTATGTGATTGAACTTGTTGAAATAAATTCAAATTAAAATGTTATAACTCTAGGATGTTATATGTAATTCTCATAGTAACCAAAAACGAAATATACACAGAATATAAACAAAAGGAAATGAGACTAGAAACAAAATGTGTCACTACAAAAAAATCAACTAAAGATAAAAAAGAAATAATTGAGAAAATGGCAAAAATCAGTAACTCTGACGTATTAAAACTTTCCATGCTACATAAATCTGAAAACTCTATTTCACATAAAACTGGAGCTGAAAGAGACAAATATTTACCTATAAAGTTAAAAGTTATATAGGGAACAAACACTAATTTTTTTTAGAAAAAATTATAAAAAGAGTAAAAATATGCCTTATACTACCCCAATTTCATGTTTTACAGCTCTGGGAAAATAGAAAATAAAATGTTCTGTTAGCATGAATCCCTCTGTGCCCCCAAAAAACCCTATGGATTGCATCATTATTACCTAAAAAGTCTATTGTCAAATGCAGCAGAGTGATATTTTTTACAAGGTAGATATTAATTTTAGATATGGAATAATATTGGTGATTTCAATTTTATAACACTGGGTTAAGATGAAAGAATGAGAAGATAAAGGTCCCTCAGCAATATAACTCACAAACATGTTCAGAAGCAGTAAGAAGTTACATTAATTATCTTTTGAAAGTCAATAATCTACATCTTTAATGTATGCATATAGCACAGCTAATGTACTATCGCTGGGTCCATTTATTCAATGAATAATTGCCGCTATGTGTCAGACATTTTTCTAGGCCTAGGAATGGATACATAAGTGAACAAAGCAAAGATTCTGGTTCTTGTAGAGTTTCCATTAAAAGACCATTTAGTAAAACTTTTCTTCCCCCAAATTATAAAATCTGTAAGATGATTTAACAACATGTGTAAAAGTCATTGTGGGCCAGGCACGGTGGCTCATACCAGGTGTGGTGACTCATAGCACTCTGTCACCCAGGCTGGAGTGCAGTGGCACAATCTCTGCTCACTGCAACCTCTGCCTCCTGGGTACAAGCGATTCTCCTGCCTCAGCTTTCTGAGTAGCAAGGACTACAGGTGCACACCATCACGCCTGGCTAATTTTTGTACTATTAGTACAGACGGAGTTTCACCATGTTGGCCAGGCTGGTCTTGAACTCCTGACCTCAAATGATCCGTCTACCTCGGCCTCCCAAAGTGCTGGAATTACAGATGTGAGCCACAATGCCCAGCCTTATTTTCTACAACTTTGGTAACTTTAGCATATACCCCAAATCTGTAAGACATAATATTATAATTCAAATGCAACTCATGGCTTCTCATTGTACTCTTTCTCTAGCTTTTGAATTATTTATTCTAATACCAGTTTTAATTCTGACACAAAAGCATGGGAGTTCTAATCAAAATCCAACCTTTTATCATAAAAACTATGAAGAAATTATGAGTAGAACTTAAAAAGGAAAATAGGCCTATTAATTAGATTTGTCTTTGTAGCATTTAACTCTATAATAAATAACATAATATTTTATGCCTATGAGTACCCAACAAAGCCTCCAGCTTCTATTTAGATATAAAATGTAAAAGTCACTACTGGATCCACAAGCAAGACTATGGTAAAGAAATTTCTCCACCTAACCAGCTTCTTTTACATGATGTTACATGTTTCTTTTGTTTTTTCATTTTGGCAAATATTGATTGTCATCTTCGTGTTTGTCTATGTCCTAAGTGCTGGGATACAGAATCTGAAAAGATGGACACAGGACCTGCCTTCAAGTTCATCCTTTTTTTTTTTTTTTTGAGATGGAGTTTTGCTCTTGTCGCCCAGGCTGGAGTGTAATGGTGAGATCTCGGCTCACTGCAACCACCACCTCCAGGGTTCAAGTGATTCTCCTGCCTCAGCCTCCCAAGTAGCTGGGATTACAGGTCCCAGCCACCACACCTAGCTAATTTTTGTATTTTTAGTAGAGACAGCGTTTCATCATGTTGGTCAGGCTGGTCTCAAACTCCTAACCTCAGGTAGTCGACCCACCTCGGCCTCCCACAGTGCTGAGATTACAGGCATGAGCCACCACGCCCTGCTAGGAGTTCACGCTTTAGTTGGGGAAAATATACAATAAGCAAGCCAATTTTTAAAAAGAGAACTGCAATTAGAGTTAAATGCTACAAAGACAATCTCACAGGAAGATGGGATGTAGAATGATAAGGCTCTCAGAATAGTAAGAGAAACTATTGCTTCTTACGATGTTTGTCTTTCTTTGTATCAGTGCTGAGTCTGCAGTGCTTCAGAGGCAGCTTTCATTTTATAAAAATCTATGATTTCTCCTTCCAGTTGTTTTTTCTCTTCCTCGAGCCTCCTTATCTCCTCCTGTTGAATCATTTTAAGATGCTCGAATTTGTCCTGCAACTGTGAAACCAATGTGCAGTTGTGACACCAAAGCAGTGTGGCTGAACACCCAAAAGAATATGCTTTTTTCTGATTATCAAACAAACCTAAATCATCACAGTAGAGCACGATCTTAATAACAATCTCAAAAACTCAGGAGTAAACACTCAGATATGGAATTTTTCTTTTCTTTCTTTTTTCCTTTTATAAGATGGAGTCTCACTCTGTTGCCCAGGCTGGAGTGCACTGGTGCAATCTCAGCTCACTGCAACCTCCATCTCCCAGTTCAAGTGATTCTCCTGCCTCAGCCTCTTGAGTAGCTGGGACTACAGGCATGCACCACCACTACAGGTGTGTGCCACCACACCTGGCTAATTTTTGTATTTTTAGTAGAGATGGGGTTTTGCCATGTTGGCCAGGCTGGTCTCGAACTCCTGACCTCAGGTGATCCTCCCGCTTTGGCCTCCCAAAGACTTTTTTTTTTTTTTTTTAATATAGAGACAAGTTCTCAGTATGTTGCCCAGGCTGGTCTCAAACTCCTGAGCTCAAGTGATCCTCCCACGTCAGCTTCCCAAAGTGCTGGGACTGACTGGATGCAGTGGCTCATGCTTGTAAACTCAGCACTTTGGGAGGCCAAGGTGGGAGGATCGCTTGAGCCCAGGAGTTCAAGACCAGACTGGGTGATATAACACAATAGTAAACTTCAACAGGAGAGAGAATCTGTAAACTTGAATATAGATCTTCTGAAATTATCCAGTCAGAGAACAAAGAAAAAAAGAATAAAAAAGAGAAAAGAAGGCTGGGCGTGGTGGCTCAAGCCTGTAATCCCAACACTTTGGGAGGCCGAGGCAGGCAGATTAAGAGGTCAGGAGTTCAAGACCAGCCTGGCCAACGTGACAAAACCCCATCTCTACTAAAAATACAAAAATTAGCCGGGTGTGGTGGCACACACCTGTAGTCCCAGCTACTTGGGAGGCTGAGGCAGGAGAATCGCTTGAACCCAGGAGGCGGAGGTTGGAGTGCAATGTGAGCCGAGACCACACATTGCACTCCAGCCTGGGTGACAAAGCACGACTCTGACTCTGTCTCAAAAAAAAAAAAAAAAGAAAAAAAAAGAGACAGAGAAAAGAAAGCCAACAAGACACCATTAGGCAAACCATTGTCAGGTTATGGGAGTTTGAGAAGGAAAGTAGAGAAAGGAGAAGAAAGCTTATTTAAAGAATGGCTGAAAACTGCCTAAATCATGGGAAAGATTTAGACATCTAAATCCATGAAGCTTAAAGATTCCTAAAGAGGTTCAAACCAAATAGATACTCACCAAGTCACAATATAATCAAATAGTCAAAAGTTAAAGAAACTTTGCAGGTCAGGACAGAATCGAATAATACATTCAAAGTGCTGAAAGAAAAAAACTGCCAGCAACTAATACTATGTCTGACAAAGCTGTCCTTCAGAAAGAAAGAAGAAGTAACGTGTTTCCTCGACAAACAAAGCTGAGGGCATTCAGGACCAGTAGGTCTACCTTAAAAAAATGCTTAAGGGAGTTTTTCAAGTAAAAATGAATGAAGTTGGGAGCGGTGGCTCATGCCTGTAATCCCATTTTGGGAGGCCGAGGTGGGTGGATCACCTGAGGTCGGGAGGTCAAGACCAGCCTGGCCAACATGGCAAAACCCCACCTCCAGTAAAAATACAAAAAATTAGCCAGGTATGAAGGCCACTGAGATCGTGCCACTGCACTGCAGCCTGGGTGACAAGAGTCAAACTACATTTCAAAAACAAAAAACAAAACAAACAAAAAAAACAAAACTTGAGGCCTGGCCTTCTGCTCCTCTCCAACCTCCCCTTCTCTGGGCCCAAGCCACCTTGGCTGAGGAGGGGGCGAGGAGGTGTGAGCCCCTGCCAGGAACCCCCTGCCCGGACCAAGTACTCGGCCCTCAGGCCTGCGTTCAGTGAGGCCTCCCGTGGCGTCAGCATGTTCGTGTGGAGGAATGTGGAAGTTCACTCTGTGGCCGTGTTCCCCTGGTACTCCATCCCCTTCCTGACGCACCCCCCGCAGCCACACGAGGCCCAGCAACCTGCCAGTCACTCAGTGGCCTCCAACCAGAGAAAACAACCTGCCAAGTTGGCAGCTGTTGCTCATGAGCGTCCACCAGGTGGGACAGGGAGTGTTGACCCTGGGCGGCCCCCTGGAGCCATCTGCCCTGAAAGCCCAGGGCCTGCAACCCCACACACTTTGCGGGTGGTGGAACCTGGTAAAAGCTCACCTCCCACCATGGAGGAGGAGCCCTGGGCCCCTCAGGAGAGTCCCTGCTGGACAGTGAGACAGAGAATGACCATGATGATGCTTTCCTCTCCATCATGTCTCCTGACACCCAGTTGCCTCTACCACTCAGATGATGTCAGGCCCAGTCCCTCAGTGCCCTGCGCAAGGAACAGGACTCATCTTCTGATAAGGATGGACGCAACCCCAACAAATGGGACAAGGACCACATCTGGTGGCCCATGAGTGGCGGTCATGATCTTCAGCAAGCGGCACCAGGCCCTGGCAGGGCGCACCAGGGTCACCCTAACCAGGATAACCAGACCATCAGCCAGATGCTGAGCGAGCGGTGGTACACCCTGGGGCCCAATGAGATGCAGAAATACAACCTGGCCTTCCAGGTGAAGGTGGCCCACTTGCAACAAGGACCGAAAGAAGTCCAGCTCAGAGGCCAAGCCCACAAGCCAGGGGCTAGCAGGAGTGTAACAAGGGCTCGTGGGAGCGGAGCATATCAGAGACGGGCACTGCCACTGCCCCTGGGGTGTCCTCTGAACTCCTGTCAGTTGCAGCCCAAACACTCCAGAGCTCGGATACCAAGGAGCAGCTTCTGTGGGGCAGAACAGCTGCACACAGTCAGGGAACCTGGCTCAGCCTGGCCCAAGCCTTCTCCCACAGAGGGGTACACAGCCTGGACGGCAGGGAAATAGACCGCCAGGCACTACGGGAACTGACACAGGTGGTGTCTGGCACTGCATCATACTCTGGCCCAAAGCCTTCTACTCAGCATGGAGCTCCAGGCCACTTTGCAGCCCCTGGTGAGGGAGGTGACCCGTGGGCAGCCCTGCTGCTGCCCACCTGAGCTGCTCATTCCCAGCACATGGCCGGTGAGGACACAGCGAGTGACGAGGAGCACACGGTCATCCATGAGGAGGAGGGGGTGATGATGTCATTGCTGATGATGGCTTTAGCACCACCGACACCGATCTCAAGTTCAAGGAGTGGGTGACCGACTGAGAGTGGGGACAACTCTGGGGAGGAGCCAGAGGGCAACAAGGGCTTTGGTGGGAAGGTATTTGCACCTGTCATTCCTTCCTCCTTTACTCCTGCCGCCCCTTGCTGGATCCTGAGCCCCCAGGGTCCCCCGATCCACCTGCAGCTTTTGGCAAAGTCTATGGTCCCACCCTGTCCTCCTCCAACACATACTTGGATGCTTCCTCCTCAACCTTGGCACCCACCTCCTTCTTACTGGGCCCAGGAGCCTTCAAAGCCCAGGAGTCTGGTCAAGGCAGCAGAGCGGGCCCCCTACGGCCCCTACCCCTGGGGATGGGGGCCCAGGGATGCCTTCCAAGGTGACCTGTTTCCTCCCAATGGATCCTGCCACCTTCTGGTGCAAGAGACCTGAAAGTGTGGGTGACCTGGAGCTACCAGGCTCCTCAGTCATCAGGGTCCCTCCCAACACTAAGGCTTTCCTAGGCAGGAGCTGGGCTGAGCCACCCGGGGGGCAGAGCCTGAAGAGAAATTGACTGGGCTTTCGGGGTCGGGGCAGAGGGAACCCCACGGACATGGATCCCACACTGGAGGACCCCACCACGCCCAAATGCAAGATGAGAAGATGCTCCAGCTGCAGTCCAAAGCCCAACACCCCCAAGTGTGCCATGTGTGATGGGGACAGCTTCCCCTTTGCCTGTACAGGTGGAGAAGCCGAGGACAGGCTCAGGGAACCGGAGACCAAGAAGGCGCTGTCCTCTTCACTGCACGTGCCCTGGACCAGTGCCGGCCCTGATCATGCAGCTCTTCCAGGCCCACTGCTTCTTCCTGTCCACTAGGCCACAGCCGCCCTCCAGGCCCACTATGCACACATCTTCCCCTCCAAGGTTTGTTCTGCCCCAGCCCTGACTCCCAGCCCTGTGGGGGTCCTGACCGCACCTCACCTGGCTCAGACTCTTGACGCTGCCCTGGCCGCCCCACCACTGCCTGTGCCCGAGAGTCACGTGAGGCTGAGAGTAGGGGCAGGGGCAGCAGTGGTGCCAGTTGGGGGGCGGTCCAGTGGGAGGAGCCTCAGCCTCGCGGGCTGCTCCGTGGGACTGATGACTGCATGATCTTCTGGGCACCTCACGGATCTTCAACTGCAGGTGAAACGGATGCTGGTGGTGGGTGCAGGGCCGCTGGGAGCCGCTGCATGGTTCCGAGGCTGGACTGGGGCAGGTGCCAACTGAAGCTGCTGGGGCAGCATGGGCAGGATGTTCTGCACACAAACCTTGGAGAAGAAGATGTGTGCATAGCGGGTCCACTGCTGCTGCCCCTGCCCTGACTCCCAGCCCTGCCTGACCCCACCTCAACCTGCTCAGGCTCTGGCGCAACCCTGGCTGCCCTGCCACTGCCTCTGCCCCAGAGTTGGGGCCTTGACAGCCTGGTTGGAAGGGGACACCCCAGCCCTGCCTCAACACCTGGGGGTCTCCATAACTACCACAGGCAGGTGGGCAACCCCAAAGATCCCAGGACTCACAGTACCCCCTGAGAACATGGACAGTATGTGGGGGTAGCAATGGAGGGCAGGATGGTTATCTTCTCCCAGGTAAAGCCATTTAATCCTTTCAGTTTGGGACGGAGTAAGGCCTGCCTCTTTTTTTTTTTTTTTTTTTTTTTTTTTGAGACCGAGTCTTGCTCTGTCGCCCAGGCTGGAGTACAGTGGTGCGATCTTGGCTCACTGCAACCTCTTCCCGCCGGGTTCACGCCATTCTCCTGCCTCAGCCTTCCGGGTAGCTAGGATTACAGGTGCACGCTACCACGTCCGGCTAATTTTTGTATTTTTAGTACAGACGGGGCTTCATCATCTTGGCCAGGCTGATTTCGATCTCCTGACATCGTGATCTGCCTGCCTCCCCCTCCCAAAGTGCTGGGATTACAGGCGTGAGCCACCACACCTGGCCAAGGCCTGCTCCTCTTATCTATACCCCCTACCCCTGCAGCTGTGCCGGGGGAAAGCTGGGCAGTTTCCCTCCTCCGAGCCCCTGTACATACCATGAATTGTGGGACCTTCAGAGCTTTTCACTTTTCGGAAAATAGCTCCTACTGGGGCTACAAGATGGAGTGTGAAGAGGGCCTTGGGCCACAGGGAGGCGCCTGTGGACTAGGGGGAGTTCATGCACCCCTTCTTTCCCCAGAAGGGCTGGACTCAGGTGAGTATGGGGGTGGGGGCTCCTGCACTTCGACACAGGCAGCGGGAGGGTTTTCTCCCCATTCCCTCTGCACTCCCAACTTGAGCTATACTTTTTAAGAAAGTGATTCACCCTGCCTTTGCCCCCTTCCCCAGAACAGAACACGTTGATCATGGGCGATATTTTTCACTGTGCCAAAAAGTTGCCATGACCATCATTAAACCTGTTTAACACCAAATAATAAGGAAAATAAAATAAAAAAATCGGGCATGGTGCAGAAACTCACTCCAAATAAATTACCTACCAAAATATATAATGGTGGAAATATTCCAAAATTCCATATTTTGGGATTTATACACAAAAGATAAACAAATTAGAGGCCAAGAGGCTGCCAGAAGGGAAAAACGGGGCCTGGAAAGGCCGTTGTGAGGAATGAGCTGGGCCTAAAGAGGCCACTGGCAGGCAGGAGCTGGACCTGCCGAAGTGGCCGAAAGGCAGGAGCTGTGGACTGGGGAGGCCGCAGTGAGGCGAGAGCTAGCTGGGCGTGGAGAGTCCGCTGTGAGGCCGAGGCCGGGCCCGTGCAGGCCTTCGAGAGGCAGGAGGCCGGGCCTGCAAAGGCCGACTGGAGATCAAGTTCTGCGCCTGAAGAGGCTGCCAAAAGTCAAAAGCGGGGCCTGGGAAGGCCGCCGAGAGCCATGAGCTGGGCTGGGCCGAAAGAGGCCACTGGGAGGCAGGAGGAGCTGGGCCTGGAGAGGCTGACTCGAGGAAGTTTTGCACCTGGAGAGGCCGCCGAGAGGACAGAGCTGGGCCCGGGGAGGCCAACTTGCTGCTCTTCCAGGCCCACTTCCAGGCCGACTTGAGGACGACTTGGGCCTGCAGAGGCCGCCAGGAGGCCCAAGCTGGGCCTAGAGGAGCCCACCGACCGGAGGCCGTTTGGGGCCTGCAGATGCCATCGGAGGGCAGGAGCTGAGCCTGGAGAGGCCACCGTGAGGCCTGAGCTGGGCCTAGGGAGCTTGGCTTAGGGAAGTTGTGGGCCTACCAGGGCCGCTGGGAGCTGGGCAGGAGCTGAGTCCAAAGACGTTGTTGGGACCTGGAGTCGGGCCAGAGTCCGGCCTGGAGACGCAGCCGGGAGGAAGAGCTGGGCCCGGAGAGGACGCCGGGAGGCTGCCAAGTGGGTCTGAGAGGCCGACTTGAGGAGGCCCGGCCTCTGCCTCCCGCATGGCCCAGCTGTTCCTCCTGGCTGCATCTCCCGCCTCCCAGCAAACAAGCTCTTTTGGCTCAGCTCCCGCCGGCCTTTGTAGACCCCGAAGTTTCTGCAACCAAGCTCTTCAGACCCACATCCCTTCTCCCAGTGACTGAACAGTCCCAGCTCCGGCTGGAGAAGAGCGTCTGCAAAACCCGCTGTTGCCTCCCAGGGGAGTCTCCAGGCCCAGCTCTCGCCCCACCGCGACCTCCCAGGCCCAAGTCCCTGCCTACCTCCCAGCAGCCCGCGTGCGACCCTGCTCCTCCCTCACGGTGGCCTGTTGAGGCAAGGGCTCACGCTGACCTCTGTCCGCGTGGGAGGAGCCGGTGTGAGGCAAGGGGCTCACGCCTCTGGGCAGGGTGCCAGAGGCATGAGTTGGGCATCAACAGGCCACCGTGAGGGAGGAGCTGGGCCGCACGCGGGCTGCTGGGAGGCAGGCAGGGACTTGGCCCCAGGAGGCCGCCGTGGGGGCAAGAGCTGGGCCTGGAGAGGCACCTGGGAGGCAAGGGCGGGGCCTGCAGAGGCTGTTCTCCAACCAGTGCTGGGCCTGTACAGGCCACCGGGAGGCAGGAGGTGGGCCCTCAGAGCTTGGCTGCAGAAAGTTCGGGGCCTAGAAAGGCGGTTGGGAGCTGGGCAGTTGAGCCAAAAGAGCTTGCTTACTTGCTGGGAGGCAGGGCCGGGAGAGGCCGACTTCAGGACAACTTGGGCCTGCAGCAGTCGCTGGGATGGAGGCCCAAGCAGTGGCATGCAGCAGTGGCATGGAGGAGCCCACCGACCGGAGACCATTTGGGGCCTGGAGATGCCATCGGAGGGCAGCAGCTCATCCTGGAGAGGCCACCGTGAGGCCTGACCTGGGCCTCGGGAGCTTGGCTTGAGGAAGCTGTGGGCCGACCAATGCCGCCAGGAGATGGGTAGGCACTGAGTCCAAAGAGGTTGTTGAGAGGCAGGAGTCGGGCCTGGAAACGCAACCAGGAAGAAGAGCTGGGCCCGGAGAGGACGCCCGGAGGATGCAAGTGGGTCTGGAGAGGCCGACTTGAGGAGGTTCTGGGCCCGGAGAGGCCGCCGGAAGGGAAAAACTGGGCCTGGAAAGGCCGTTGTGAGGAATGAGCCCCATGGGCCTGAAGAGGCCACTGGCAGGCGGGAGCTGGGCCTGCCGAAGCGGCCGAGAGGCAGGAACTTTGGACTCGGGAGGCCGCAGTGAGGCGACAGCTAGCTGGGCGAGGAGAGTCCGCTGTGAGGCAGAGGCTGGGCCTGTGCAGGCCTTCGGGAGGCAGGAGGCTGGGACTTTCGGTGGAAAGTCAAAAGCGGGGCTTGGGAAGGCCGCCGGGAGGCATGAGCTGGGCTGGGCCGAAAGAGGCCACTGGGAGGCAGGAGGAGCTGGGCCTGGAGAGGCTGCCGAAAGGCAGGAGCTTCACCTGAGGATGCCACAGTGAGACACCATCTGGGTCTGGAGGGTCCACTGTGAGGCAGAGGCTGGCCTGTAGAGTCCGACAGTAGACAGAAGTTGGGCAAAAGGCTGATTTGAGGAAGTTTTGGGCTTCAAGAGTCAGCCACGAGGCAGGCACTAGGCCTGGAAATGGCCTGACAGTCATGAGTTGGGCCTAAATGGGCCACTGTGAGGGAGGAGCTGTGCCTGTTGAGGCTGCTGGCAGGCAGGCAGAAATTCGGCCTGGGGCAGCTGCCATGAGGCAAGAGCTGGGCCTGGAAAAAGCCCCTGGGAGGCAAGAGCAGGGCCTGCAGAGGCTGTTCTCAAGTCAAAGCTGGGCCGGTTCATGCCACCGGGAAGCAGAAGGTGGGCCTGGAGAGTTTGACTTGAGGAAGTTTTGGGCCTACATTGGCCGCCATGAGCTGGACAGGAACTGGGCCAAAAAAGGCTGTTGTGAGGCAGCAGTTGTGCCTGTAGACCCAGCCAAGAGGAAGAGGTGGGCCTGGAGAAGCCCCCATGAGGCAGAGGTTGGGCCTCTAGACGCTGACAGGAGGCAGGAGCTGGGCCTGGAGAGGCCAACTTGAGGAGATTTTGGGCCTTCATAGGCCACCAGGAGGCAGCAGTTGGGACTAGAGAGTCTGACTTGAGTAAGTTTTGGGCCCGGAGATGACGTCCTGGGACAGGAGTTGGGCCTGGAGAGGCCACCGTGAGGCATAAGCTGGATGTAGAGAGGCCAGTGTGAGGCAAGACCTGGGCCTGTCTAGGCTGCTGGGAGACAGGCAGGAATCTGGCCAGGGAAGGTTGCCATGAGACAAAAGTTGGGCCTGGAAAGGCCCTTGTGAAGCATGAGCTTGGCCTAAAGAAGCCACTGGGTGGCAGGAGCTGGGTGTGTAGAAGCTGCTGAAAGGTTGGGAGCTTGGCTTGGGGGGTCCACAGTGAGGCAGATGCTGGGCCTGAAGAATCTGCTGTGAGACAGATGTTGGGACTGTAGAGGCCGACGGGAGGCAGAGGCTGGGCCTGGAGGGGCCACCAAGATGCAGGAGCTGGGCCTGGAGAGGCTGCAAAGAAGCATGAGCTGGGCCTGGTGAGGTCGACTTGAGAAAGTTCAGGGCCTGGAGAGAAGGCTGGGAGGCAGGAGCTGGGTCTAAAGAGGCCATTGTAACGATGGAGCTGTGCCTGTGGAGGCTGTTGTGAGGCAGTAGCCTCATCTGCGGAGACTGCCGTGACGTAGGGTATGGGCCTAAATAGGCCATTGTGAGTCATGAGCTTGGTCTGTAGAGGCTGACTGGAGAAAGTTCTGGGCCTGGAGAGGCTGCCAGGAGGTAGGAGCTGGGCCAAAAGATGTAAGCACATTTGCATTTATTAGGCACTTTATTTCCATTATTACACTGTAATATATAATAAAATAATTATAGAACTCACCATAATGTAGAATCAGTGGGCGTGTTAAGCTTGTTTTCCTGCAACTGGATGGTCCCACCTGAGCGTGATGGGAGAAAGTGACAGATCAATAGGTATTAGATTCTCATAAGGACAGCGCAACCTAGATC
This sequence comes from Homo sapiens, assembly GCF_000001405.40. NCBI lineage: Eukaryota > Metazoa > Chordata > Mammalia > Primates > Hominidae > Homo > Homo sapiens. The sequence goes on from NT_187519.1 coordinate 69,600, forward strand.
CCTCACATGCACAGTTCACAACAGGGTGCGTTCTCCTATGAGAATCTAATGCTGCTGCTGATCTGAGAAGGTGGAGCTCAGGCGGGAATGTGAGCAAAGGGGAGTGGCTGTAAATACAGACGAAGCTTCCCTCACTCCCTCACTCGACACCACTCACCTCCTGCTGTGTGGCTCCTTGCGGCTCCATGGCTCAGGGGTTGGGGACCCCTGCTCAAGTGCATCCGAAACGACCCTTCCCACACCAGTCTTCACAGTGGTCAAGTGCAGCAACCACTTAGCTCCCAAGGCATGTGCCTCAGCTGGCATTTCGTCACAATCAACAGTAAGTGGTAGCTTGAGTCACTGTGAGGTCACCTACTGGAAATCACCAGCATCCCATTTCCCACTGGCAAAGAGCTCAGCACTGCCCCCTGGGAAACCAAACCTATGCCCAAATCCCATCTGTGTGGGTTTATCTCCTGGGACCCTTCCTAACATATTAGTCAGAGTCCAATCAGGAAGCATAAACCACTCAAAAGTTTAAAGTGGTAAAATTTAATACAGAGAATTATTCATTATAACAGGTGAACAGCATAATGAGAGATTGGCTAGCACAAAGTAAAGAGAACTCTAGAGAATACAGGACTAGCCCAGGCCAGGCATGGTGGCTCATGCCTGAAATTCCAGCAATTTGAGAAGCTAATGCAGGAGGATTGCTTAAGGCCAGGAGCTAGAGACCGGTCTGGACAACACAGTGAGACCCTGTCTCTATCCAAAAGAAGAAAAAAGTTAGCTGGGGGTGGTGGTGCACACTTGTAGTCCCAGCTACTCGGAATGCGGAAGTTTGAGCCTGGGAGGTCAAGGCTGCAGTGAGGCATGATTATGCCACTACAGTCCAGCCTGGTGACAGAGCAAGACCCTGTCTCAAAGAACAAAACAACAACAACCATTTACAGACAGAAAAGAAATAGAGCTAATAAGCTGAGGAAAGATGTTGAAATGTGACAAGTAAAGTAATATGAGTTCTTTTGTCTATGTAAAATAATCAAACAAAAAATGACTTACTAAATTATAATACCCTGTGCTGGCAAAGGTGCAGTGAAATGGGCACTTTCTTATACTATGAGGGGTGTTTAAATTGTGTATAAGCCTTCCAGGGTAAAGCCTGTCCATTTTTTAAAATAATGGAGACAGGGTCTCACCATACTGCCATACTGCCTCCTCCAACTCTTGGCCTCAAGCAATCCTCCTCTCTTAGCCTCCCAAAGTGCTAAGATTATAGCTGGGAGGCACCCAAAACCCTGTCAATTTACATCAAGGGTAATGAGAATGTCCATTCACCATGACTCACAGTAATCTTACTTCTGGGGAGACAATTCAATCTAAACAAAAGGTCATCTGTACACACACAGTAAAAATCTGGGAGTAACTGAAGACAGAGTTGGTAAGTGAAATAAGAAACAGTTATAAGAAATTAAACTATGGTATCAATAGGCACCTGGTAAAAGGTCAGTTGATGTTAGCTGCTACTTTTTTGTTGTTTTGAGACAGGGTCTCACTCTGTCACCCAGGCTGGAGTGCAGAGGCCTGATCATGACTCACTGCAGTCTCAGCCTCCCTGGGCTCAAGTGATCCTCCCACCTCAGCCTCCCAAGTAGCTGGGACTACAGGAACATGCCACCACACTAGGCTAATTCATGTATTTTTCTGTAGGGATGGTGACTCCCTTTGTTTCCAAGGCCTATCGCAAACTCTTGGCCTCAAGCCATCCTCCTGCCTCAGCCTCCCAAAGTGTTGCGATTACCAGTGTGAGCCACCACACCTGGCCAGCTGCCACTTTTATCAATATTATTATTATTCCACTCAATTAAAAATTATTATTTTCAAGGCTATGCAACAGTATGTATCCTACAGCGTAATTGTAAAAACATATACAGTCGTCCCTCAGTATACAGAATTAGTTCCAGCCCCCCATCTCTGCATATAACAAAATCCATGCTTACTCACGTTTCGCTGTCACCCCTCTGGAATCCACGTATACAAAAATTCCAAATATTAGTTGGGCATAGTGGCAAGCACCTGTAGTCTCAGCCACGTGGGAGGTTGAGATGGGAGGATCGCTTCAGCCTGGAAGGTTGAGGCTGCAGTCAGCTGTGATAGCACTACTACACTCCAGCCTTGGACAACAGAGGGAGACCCTGTCTCAGAAAAAAAACAAAATAAAACAGGTTAGAAATTGTAATGAGGTCTGCTGGGCAAAATTCCATATAAGCAAAGTATAAATTAATAAAGCAAATCGTGATAAATTAGTACGATTGACTTTCTGGAGTTTCTGACAATAAAAGTAAGGAAAATGCAGAACACAAAGACAGACAGTAAAAAGAGAAATTAGGAAAGCATTCTACATGTTTAATAGAAAGACACTGGCCACGTTCGTGCAGAGGCAGTATGTCATGACATGACATACCTTGGAGAGAAGTTAACAGATGAGGAAGTTGATAAAAATCATCAGAGAAGCAAAATACTGGTAGCGACACTCAAGTAAACCATGAAATTTCCATAACTTATGTCAGCAAAGTGGGAATATTGTACAGTGTGTGTTGAAGTTCCTATACAACATTGTTTATCTGCCTTTTGTTTGTTTGTAAGGAATGTATATACTAAATGTTCTTCTTGCTGTCAAAAGAATATGTGTGCATAAGTCATTTTAACTTATTCTTCTGTTTTTCTTTGATCTTCCTGCCATCATCCCACAGCCTTACTTTAGAAATTTTTTTTTTAGAAAATTGAACAAGTGCTCCTTGTGGTGGCACATGCCTCGAGGATGGGAGGCAGGGGTGGAAGGGTCACTTGAGGCCATTAGTTTGACACCAGCCTGGCCAACAAAGTGAGACCCCGTGTCTACAAAACAATTTAAAAATTAGCCAAGTATCGTCATGTATACCTACAGTCCTAGCTACTCAGGAGGCTCAGGTAGGAGGATCCTTAGCCCAGGAGTTCAAGGCTGCAGTGAGCTGTGATAGCACTACTGTACTCAAGCCTGGGTGACAGGGTGAGACCCCATCTCCTAAAATAAAAAGCAAAGAAAAAAAATAGTTCAAGTAGCAAGTTGTATGTGGCTTACTCTGAATATTTCTAAACTAGAAATTCTCAATCTTTTGGGGTCTAACATCCCTTTACATTTTTTAACTTTATTGAAGATCTCTAAGACTATTTCTTTCTGCAGATAATTATATTAAAACTAGAAAATAAGACACAATTTTTTAAATATTATTCATCACATATTAAAGCCATTACATGTTGATATAATACAAGATTTTTAAAATATTTAATATTCATTACATATTAATAATAAAACCATTACATGTTGATATATTACTTTTTTTTTTTCTTTGAGACAAAGTCTTGTTCTTTTGCCCAGGCTGGAGTGAAGTGGCGCAATCTCAGCACATTGCAACCTCCACCCCGCAGGTTCAAGCGATTCTCCTACCTCAGCCTCCCAAGTAGCTGGGATTACAGGTGCCCACTACCATGTCCAGCTAATTATTGTATTTTCTTAGTAGAGAAGGAGTTTCGCCACGTTGGCAAGGCTGGTCTTGAACTCTTGACCTCAGGTGATCCACCCGCCTGGGTCTCCCTAATTGCTGGGATTACAGGTGTGAGCCACCGCGCCCACCCCGATTAATATATGTTTTAAAACACTGATTAATCAGGCAACAACACCGGGCAGGGGTCTCCTCATTCCCAGGGATGCAAACCCCACTGCACGGCTGAGGGGTTGCAAGGGCTGCAGAGCCAAAAGGCTCTGACTTGAGATATTATTTTACTTGTATTTTTATTTGTATTGTGAGACAGGTCCTGCTCTGTCACCCAAACTGGAGTGCAGCTGTGCACTTACAGCTCACTGCAGCCTCGACCTCCTGGGCTCAAGCCATCTTCCTGCCTCAGCTCCCCAGTAGCTGGTAGTACAGTTGAGTGTCACCATGCCTGGTTATTTTTTTAATTTTTTTGTAGAGTGAGGGATCTTGCTATGTTGCCCAAGCTGGCCTCAAACTCCTGACCTCAAGAGATCTGCCCACTTCAGCCTCCTGAGTAGCTGAAACTACAAGTACACATCACCATGCCTAGCTACATTTATTTAATTTTGAAAAATATTTTTGTAAAGAGCAGATCTTGCTGTGTTGTCCAGGCTGGTCTTGAACACCTGCCCTTAAAAGATACTCGCACCTCTGCTTACCAAACAGCTGGGACTACAGGCATGAGCCACTGCAATGAGCCTGAAGAGATTTCTTTAATCTAGCATCCCATACTTGGTAGGATTGGGAAAGGCAGTAGTGTTTTTTAAAATTACTTAATAATTTCAGTAACAATCAAACTCAACCTTGACCCCTGCCTTCTCTCACACCCCATATCCAGTCTGTCAGGAAATCCTGTTGACTGTCTTCGACATGTACTAAAGATCCCCACCCAGCAACTCCCTGGCCTCCTCCCCTACTTCTCCCCTCTGACCATCTCTCAACACCACCACGACCCTGGTCAGGACCACCATCATCTCCCGCCTGGATGTTGCCAAAGCTTGGCCCCCATGCTTCTATCACATCTTCCCACGGTCTTTCTCAACTCAGCAGCCAGAGAATGCTTTTAAATCAGGTGACAGATCATGTCGCCTCTCTGCTCAGAACCCTCCCGCAGTTTCCATCTGAGTCAGAGTAAAAGCCAAAGCCCCAGCAATAACCTCCCAGGGCTTATGTGATCTGTACTGATCCCCACCCAGCAACTCCCTGGCTCCCTCCCCTAATTCTCTCCCTCTCTCCGTCTGCTCCATGGGCCTCCTTCCAGAGCCTCAGACACACCTCAGACACTTTATTCTATTGTTTCTGCCTACAATCCTCTTCCCTCAGCACCTTGGCCACCTCCTTCCCCTCCTTCAAGTCTTTACTCAATTTTCACTTAGGAGGCCACCCCTGACCATTCTACTTAACATTGCCATCTGTCCCCATGCCCACCATGCTCATTTCTTCTTTCTTTACTTTCTTCTTTCTTTTTTTCAAGATCTCACCGTCACCAAGGCTGGAGTGCAGTGGCGAAATCACAGCTCACTGCAACCTCAAATTTCCAGGCTCAAGCGATCCTCCCACCTCAGCCTCCCGAGTAGCTGGGACTCCAGGTTCATGCCACCATGCCTGGCTAAATTTTTTAGTATTTTATTTTATTTTATTTTGAGACAGAGTTTCACTCTTCTTGCCCAGGCTGTAGTGTAACGGTGCGATCCCGGCTCACTGCAACCTCCACCTCCCAGATTCAAGTGATTCTCCTGCCTCAGCCTTCCAAGTAGCTGGGATTACAGGTGCGTGCCACCATGCCCAGCTAATTTTTGTATTTTTAGTAGAGCCGGGGTTTCACAATGTTGGCCAGGCTGGTCTCGAACTCCTAACCTCAGGTAATCTGCCCGCTTCGGCCTCCCAAAGTGCTGGAATTACAGGCGTGAGCCACCACGCCTGGCCAATTTTTTCATTTTTTGTAGAGACAAGGTCTTACTATGTTGCCCAGACTGGTCTTGAACTCCTGGCCTCAAGTGATCCTCCTGCCTAAATTCCTAAAGTGCTGGGATTACCAGCATGAGCCATCATGCCTGGCTTCATGTTCATTTCTTCTTGCTGCTGCAACATAGTTTGCAGTTTCCTACACTTAGTGGCTTAAAACACCACAAATCTACCATCTTACAGTTCTAGGGGCCAGACACCCAAACTAGGTCTATTAAGGCTAAAGTCAAGGTGTCAGCAGGGCTGCATTCCTTCTGGAGACTCTAATATGTTCCCTTGGCTTTTCCAGCTTCTAGAAGCCACCCCCATTCCTTGGATCATGGCCCCTGACTCCATCTTCAAAGCCAGAGGTGAAGCATCTTCAAATCAGATCCCTCTCTTACCTCTGCTTTCATCACCACATCTCCTGCTCCAATTCTGAATCTCCTACTCTCTTTCTTTTATAAAGACCCTTGTGATTGCTGGGCATGGTGGCTCCCACCCAGAATCCCAACACTTTGGGAGGTCAAGGCAGGAGGAACACTTGAGGCCCGAAGTTTGAAACTAGCATGAAAAACACAGTGAGAACCCCCCCTAGAAAAAAATAAAAATAAATATTAGCCCGACATGGTGGTATGCGCCTGTAGTCCCAGCTACTTGAGAGGCTGAGGTGAGACAATCGATTTAGCCCAGGAGTTTGAGATCAGCCTGGACGACATAACTAAATCTCATCTCTACAAGGACGAGGTGGGAGGACCACTTGAGCCCACGAATTTGTGGCCAGCCTGGGCAACAAAAGAAGACCCCATCTGGCCAACATGGCCAACCTGGCCACCATGGCGAAACTCTGACTCTACAAAAATGAGCTGGGCATGGGTGACATGCATGTGTAGTCCTAGCTACTTGGGAGGTTGAGATGGGAGGATTGCTTGATCTCAGGAGGCCAAAGCTATAGTGAGCTATGATCACATCACTGCACTCCAGCCTGGATGACACAGGAGATTCTGTCTCAAAAAAAAGAAAAGAAATACATATTTAATCTCTGTCCCTGGTTCGTGGCACAGAGCTTCTAAAGCTCTTACAAAGACCTCAGTGGCAGATGTGACAGGAACATCTTTTGTTTTAATATTTGGTCTTGGTCCCAGGTTTCTAACACAAGAGCCTCTAATAACTTTGGGATCTCCAGCATGGTAAGAATGCATTTGGGGATGTTGTTGAGATGACTGCGTGACTGCAAGCTCCTAAATTTCTTCAAGAGGAGGGCTGATTACCATGCAACCACATTATAAGAGGCTTGGAACTTTCAGCCTCATGCACTGAACTCCAGGAGGAGGAGGGGCTGGAGACTGACTTAATCACCAACAGCCAAAGGTTTTATCAATCATGCTTGCATAATAAAGCCTCCATAAACACCCTGAAAGGGGTTTGCAGAGCTTTCAGGGTTGCTGGACACAGGAGATGCTGGGAGGGTCGCATGTTCAACAGAGGGCATGGGAGCTCTGTGCCCCTCCGAACTTAACTTGCCCTGGGTATCTTTCTTTTTTTTGAGACAGGATCAGGCTCTTTTGTCCAAGCTAGAGTGCAGTGGCACAACCTCAGCTTACTGTAACCTAAGCCTCCCCAGTCCCCAGCTCAAGGTATCCTCTCATCTCAGCTTCCCTAGTAGTTGGAACTCTAGGTGCACACCACCACACCAGTTATTTTTTTTTTTTAATTTTTTATAGAGACAGGTTTTCACCATGTTGCCCAGGCTGGTCTCAAACTCTTGAGTTTAAGCGATCCTCCCACCTTGGCCTCCCAAAGTGCTGAGATTACAGGCATGAGCCACTGCATCCAGCATGCACGTCTCTTTCATCGACTGTTTCTGAGATGTATCCTTCACAATGAACCAGTAATAGGAGATGAACTGGCCAGATGTGGTGGCTCACATCTGTAATCCCAGCACTTTCAGAGGCTGAGGTGGGAGGATCACTTGAGACCAGGAATTTGTGGCCAGCCTGGCCAACACAACAAGACCCCATCTATACAAAAAATAAAAGAAACTAGCCAGATGTGGTGGTGCAGGCATGTACACTCAGCTACTAGGGAGGCTGAGGTGGGAGAACCACTGGAGCCCAGACAATCAAGGCTGCAATGAGCTATGACTGCACCATTGCACACCAGCCTGGGCAACAAAATAAGACCCTCTCTCTCAGAAAAAAAGAAAATAAACTGTTTTTCTGAGTTCCGTAAACTGTTCTAGCAAATTATTAAACCCAAGAAGACAGTTATGGGAACCCCCGATTGGTAACAGGTTGGTCAAAAGTACGGTGACAACTTAGGACTTGCCATTGGCATCTGAAGTGAGGATGGCCTCGTGGGACTGAGCCCCTAACTTGTGGGGTCTGTGCTAACTCCAGGTAGTGTCAGAATAAAGTCATGGGATACCCAGTTAATATCCAGAGCACTGAAGAATTTGGTGTAGAAACTCCATACATACATTCAGTCAGAAGTGTGTGAGTAGAGACAAACATGGGCTTTTCTGTCACCTACCTGCTTAACTGCATAGGAGAGGCAATATGTGGTGCTCATGAACAAAGCAAACATTAAAGTCAGACCAAACCCAACATTTGACTCAATCTTAATATCCAGGTGAGCTTGGGCAAATCATTCATTATTCCTAAGGCTTCATCACTCCGTTCATAAAATGGGGATAACTGTGGCACCTACCTGTGATTCTGTGAGAATTAATGAAATATTATGCTTGGGGTTACTGTGATCATTATACCTATTCCAAACTATTTGACAAGGACAGTGATGGATGATGACATCAAAAAATCAGAAACTGCAATGAGGTCTCTCAGGCAAAATTCCATACAAGCAAATTACTGTGTCTACAAAGCATTCCTGCCACACTTAATTCACCATTCCCTGAACAAAATATGCCATCTTCGTTGTTCAGGTCCGTACAGTGCTGGTTTCCCTTCCCGGGCAGTTTGCGCTATCCCATCTCGGCCCATTCACCATCCCTCCACCTCCCCCTTCCCTCCCCACTCTCATACAACTCTTCCTCATCTTTCAGGACTTGGCTTCAATGTCACCTTAACTGGAAGCTTCTCTCACTCTCCAGAAGAGCTTCCCATTGCACTTGATGCATGCACTATTATTTGATCATTTTTAAGTTACAGTCCAAATCTTTTTGTTCCTGAATAACATGTTGCCCAGTCAGTCTCTCTTCCTGGATTCAGAAGTCTTTCATGGTAGATCCAGCTGGAAGTGACAAAAAGACATCTTTTGACATAAAGGGATGACACAGACAGACATAAGTTCTTAAATGTCTTAAATGTTATGTGAAAATTAAACAGAATTCAAAGACTTGTGGGGAACACTTAGGAGGGAAAGTTACTGGGAATGTCATAAAGGGTTAATTTGTATTTTATTTTATTTTTTGAGACAGTCTCATTCTGTCACCTAGGCTGGAGTGCAGTGGTGCAATCAGGCTCACTGCAGCCTTGACCACCTGGGCTCAAGTAATCTCACTTAATTTTTATTTGGTTTAAGAAAGTCTTGGTTGAGGGTGGTGGCTTATGCCTGTAATCTCAGCACTTTGGGAGGCTGAGAAAGGTATATTACTTGAGGCCAGGAGTTTGAGATCAGCCTGGGCAATATATTAAGACCCTGCCTCTACCAAAAAACAGAGTGAATGTGTGGAAGACAATTTTTCCACAGACTGGGAGTGAGGGAATAATTTCAGGATGATTCAAGTGCATTACATATATTGTGCACTTTATTTCTATTATTACTACACAGTAATATATAATGAAATGATTCTACAACTCACTATAACGTAGACTCAGTGGGATCTCTGAGCTTGTTTTCCTGCAATTAGACTGTCCATCTGGGGTGATGGGAGACAGTAACAGAATATCAGGCATTAGATTCTCATAAGGAATACACAACCTAGATCCCTCGCATGCACACTTCACAACAGAGTTTGTGCTCCTATGAGAATCTAATGCTGCTGCTGATCTGACAGGACATGGAGCTCAGGTGGTCATGCAAGCGATGGGAGGGGCTAGAAATACAGATGAAGTTTCCCTTCACTCGCCTGCTGCTCACCTCCAGCTCTGTGGCCCTGTGGTTGGAGACCGCTGCTCAAATGCATTCGAAAGGATCCATCCCACGCCATTCTTCAGAGTCATCTTTACTGCTGCAGTGGTCAACTTGTAGCACCCCTAAGCTCGCAGGACATATGCTTCAACTGGCATTTCACAATCAACAGTATGTGGTAGCTTGAGTCATTGTGCGGTCACTTCCTGGAAATCACCAGCATCCCATATCCCATTAGCAAGGAGCTCAGCACTGCTCCTTGGATAACCAAACCTATTCCCAAATCCCATCTGTGTGCGTCTATCTCCTGGTACCCTTCCTAGCATCAATTCTGTATTTGTAGGAGTCCAATCAGGAGACACAAACCACTCAAAAGTTTAAACTAGAATGAGCAAGATGGCTCACATCTGTAATCCCAGCACTTTGGGAGGCCAAGGTGGGTGGACTGCTTTGAGCTCAGGAGTTTGAGAACAGTCTGGGAAATATGGCGAAACCTCGTCTCTACAAAAAACACAAAAATCAGCTGGGTGTGGTGGCACTTACCTGTAATCCCAGCTACTCGGGAGGCTGAGGCAGGAGAATTGCTTGAGCCTGGCAGGTGGAGGCTGCAGTGAGCAGAGGTTGTGCCACTGTACTCCAGCCTGGGTGACAGTGTGAGACCCGGTATCAAAAAGAAAAAACGTATATATATGTAAATTTAATATAAAAAGTATTAATTTTGGCCAGGCACAATGGCTCATACCTGTAATCCCAGCACTTTGGGAGGCCAAGGCAGACAGATCACCTGAGATCAGGAGTTTGAGACCAGTCTGACCAGCATGGAGAAACCCCATCTCTACTAAAAATACAAAATTAGCTGGGCATGGTGGCACATGCCTGTAATCCCAACTACTCGGGAGGCTGAGGCAGGAGAATCGCTTGAACCCGGCAGGTGGAGGTTGCGCTGAGCCGAGATAGCGCCATTGCACTCCAGCCTGGGCAACAAGAGTGAAACTCCATCTCGAAAAAAAAAAAAGGTATTAATTTTTACAGAGGATCAGCACAATGAGGGACACACTAGCACAAAGTAAAGACAACTCTAGAGAATACGGAACTAGCAGAGGCCAGGCATTGTGGCTCATGCCTGTAATCCCAGCAATTTGGGAAGCCTAGGCAGGAGGATCGCTTGAGGCCAGGAGTTGGAGACCAATCAGTGCTAAATAGTGAGACTCTGTGTCTACCAAAAAAAGAAACATTAGCCAGGTGTGGTGGTGGTGCACACCCGTAGTTCCAGCTACTTGGGAGTCTGGGGTGGGAGAAATCCCTTGAGCCTGGGAAGTCTACACTACAGTGAGCCAAGATTGTGCCACTGCACTCCAGCCTGGGCGACAGAGTGAGACCCTGTCTTAGAAAGAAAAAAGAAAAGAAAGTGTTAATCCCCCTATGGGAATCTCCTCTTCTCCTGCCCTCTCTGGAACCTCACTTGTCAGTTCTTCCTCCCACTTTCCTGTATCTTTAACCTATCCCCCACTTTTAGCTCCTTCCCATCATCATTTAAATTACTCAAACTTCTTCTGTTTTAAAAACCTCTCCCTAAACTCAGGGAGAGGTCTCCTGCACACCCATTGAGCCATCTGCTCTCCCTGGTGCCTTCTCTACAGCAGCCTGAGCCATGTCTCTAATCCATGAATCTCATCATGTTACTCCCCCATTTACATCACTTCTCCTTGCCTCAGGGATTAAGTCCAAACTCCTTAACAGCCCCTGCTCTGCCCTGCCTTGCAAGGCAGCCTCACTGCTTGCCCCTCTCCATTTCATCTGCTATGGAGTCCAACTGAGCCTCATCTGCCCCTTGAACGCACACTCTTTCTCCTCTGGGAGTCTCTGAAGTGGGTAATATCCTCTGCTTATAATATACTTCCCCTTAAACCTCTACTCTCTTCCTAGCTAGCTTCGACTCCTCTGTCACTTGTCCGCTTTGGCATCACCTCCTCACAGAAGACTTCTTTGACTCCCGAGATTCTCAGGAGCATGGCAGGTGAGGTGCTCCTCCCATGAATGGATGGAGATTAGGGAGTGTGTGTTATTCATGCTTAATTCACCAGTGCTTAGCTGAGTACCTGGCATAAAATAGTTACTGTGGTGGCCAAAGTAAGAACCCCCACTGCCACCAATTGCTCATGTCCTATGTTACACAGCACAGTTACATAGGAAGGGGGAATTAAGAGTGCAGATAAAATTAATGTTGCTCATCAGTTGACCTTAAAACAAGATTATCCTGGAGTATCTAGGAGAGCCCATGTAATTACAAGCATTCTTTAAAACTGGAAGAGGAAGGCAGAAGGTTAAGAACCAGAAACGGTGGGCACAACGGCTCATGCCTGTAATACCAATACTTTGGGAGGCCAGGGCAGGAAAATCCCTTGAGTGCAGGAGTTCAAGGTCAGCCGTGGCAACATACTGAGGTCCCATCTCTACAACAAAATAAAAACAAAATTCACTGAGTGTCACGATGCTTACCTGTAGTCCCAGCTACTGGGAAGGCTGACATGGTAGGATTGCTTGAGCCTGGGAGTTTGAGGCTATAATGAGCCATGATAGGACCACTGAACTCCATCCTGAGTGACAGGGCAAGGTCCTGTTTCTAAAGAAAAAAAGGACATTGGAATCAGGGTCCTCTCCATCCTAAGGTGCCTACAAGGCATCTCTCTCTGCAAACGAGTAAACATCACCCTCCAACTCCTTACAGAGTGGAGGAGCAGGAAAACTCCTTCACCTCATTTCTGTGCTGCTTGGGAGGCCTGGACAGCCCAATAACCAGCTCCTTGCTGATGAAGCAATCAGGAAATGGCTCGAGTTGAGCTAAGGAGAATTTGGATTCTTCTTTTGGTTCTCAATAGGCAGGGTAGGGGCCAGGCATGGTGGCTCATACCTGTAATCCTTGCACTGTGGGGGGCCAAGGTGAGAGGATTGCTTGAGGCCAGGAGCTCAAGACCAGCCTGGGCAACATAGCAAGACCTGGGTGGCATACACCTGTGGTCCCTACTACTTGGTAGGATGAGGTGGGAGGATTGATCACTTGATCCCAGGAGTTTCAGGCTGCAGTGAGCCATGATCACACCACTGCACTTCAGCCTGGGTGACAGAGCCAGACCATGTCACAAAAAGTTAGAAAGAAAAAAAAAAGAGAGAGGGAGAGAGACTATACACAGGCACCACCACATTTGGCTAATTTTTAAATATTCTGTAGAGACAAGGTCTTGCTAGGTTGCCCAGGCTAGTCTAAAACTCCTGGCATCAGGCTGGGCATGGTGGCTCATGCTTGTAATCCCAGCACTTTGGGAAGCTAAGGCAGGCAAATCACCTGAAGCCTGGAGTTCGAGACCAGCCTGGCCAACATGGTGAAACTCTGACTCTATCAAAAATACAAAAATCAGCTGGGCAGTAGTGGCGTGTACCTGTAGTCTCACCTACTCGGGAGGCTGAGGCAGGAGAATCACCTGAACCTGGGAGGTGGAGGTTGCAGTGGACCCCATCACTGCACTCCACCCTGGGTGACAGAGCTAGACTCTGTCAAAAACAACAACAACAACAATAACAAAAACAAAAACAACAACAACAAAAAAAACTCCTGGCATCAAGACATCTTCCTGTCTTAGCCTCCCAATGCCCTGGGATTATACTGTTTCCTATCATTGAAGACACTTGTTCTTATACTGCTTTAAGGTATAAAGGAAGAAAAAAAAAACAGATAATGGCAAATGTTGGTGAAGGCTGGGCATGGTGGCAGCCTGTAATTCCAGAACTTAGGGAGGCTGAGGTGGGCAGATCACTTGAGGCCAGGAGTATGAGACCAGCCTGGACAACATGGTAAAATCCCATCACTACAAAAAAATATAAAAATTAGCCAGGCATGGTGGCGTACACCTGTAATTTTCAGCTACTCAGGAGGCTGAGATGAGAGAATCACTTGTGCCTGGGAGGTCAAGGCTGCAGTGAACTGTGATGGCATCACTGCACTGCGGCCTGAGAGACAGAGCAAGCCCCTATCTAGAAAAAAAAAATGTCAGTGAAGATGTGGAGGAATTGGAACCCACATACATTACTGGTGGGAACATAAAATCGTGTAACCATTTTGTTTGGGTATTTCTTTTCTTGTCACTTTAATTGGATTTTTAAAAAATCAACACAGGGTTTCACTATCTTGCCCAGGCTGGTCTTGAATTCATGGGCTCAAGCCATCCTCCTAGCTGAGCCTCCTGAGTAGCTGGGATTACAGGTGTGAGCCATTGCACCCAACTGGTGTAGCCACGTTAGAAAACAGTCTGGCAGTTTCTCAAAAGGCTAAATGTACAGTCATCCTATAATGCAACAATTTCACTCCTAGGCATATATCCCAGAAAAATAAAAATATATGTCCACACAAAAACTTGTACAACAATCTTCACAGCAGCATTATTCATAATGACCAATACATGGAATACATGGAAACAACCCAAATACCCACCAACTGATGAACAGATAAACAAAATGCAGTGTGTCTCTACCATGGAATACTGCCATGGAAGGAATGAAATATTGATACACACTATGACATAAAGGAACTTTGAAAACACTGTGCTAAGAGGGAAAAAAAGCCACAAAAGATCACATATTGTACAATTCTATTTGTCCAGATTAGGCAAATCTATAGTGACAAAAAAATTAATCAATGGTTGCCTAAGGCTGGGGGCGAAGGTAGGTGGGGAGAGTAGGAGGTAGTGGCTAAGGGGTATGGATTTCTCTATAGGGTAATGAAAGGTTCTAAAAGTGACTGTGGTGATCTATGCACAGCTCTGTGAATATTCTAAAACCTACTGAATTGCAGATTTCAATAAATAAAGTGAATGGTATGTGAATATTTTAATAAAGCTATTATTTAAAATAATAATAATAGGGGGCTGGGCACAGGTGGTCATGCCTGCCTGTAATCCCAGCACTTTGGGAGGCTGAGGCAGGAGGACCACTTGAGGTCAGGAGTTTTGAGCCCAGTCGGAGCAACGTGGCAAGATCCCGTCTCTATGATAAAAAATTAGCTGGACATGGTGGCACATGTCTTTAGTCCCAGCTACTTGGGAGACTGAAGTGAGAGAACCACTTGAGCCCAGGAGTTTGAGGCTACAGTGAACCATGATCATGTCACTGTACTGTAGCCTGAGCAACAGAGCAAGACGCTGTCTCTGAAAAGGAAAGAAAACAAATGCAAGTTTTTATCACTTTGTGAGTGTAGCCAAGTTGGAGGAGAAATAGACAATAATAAAAGAGCACTGAATAATGACGGTGAGTGGCTGGTTAGGCTCAGTTGCTAGCTAAATGGCTTCTAAAAAATTCAATAAAGTTACAGCTCTGGGGACAGTCATGTAGTCAAAGAATGAATGCTAAATTCATTACAAATGCCCATGGTCTTACTTACATGCCTTCTAGTGAAAAATTCCTAAGTGCCTAAATAGCAAGTCTGCAATGATAGCAGCTGTTTATTAAAGACTACAAAAAAGAAATGGAGGCCGGGCGTGGTTGCTCACATCTGTACTCCTTGAATTTTGGGAGGCTGAGGCAGGCAGATTGCCTGAGGTCAGGAGCTCCAGAGGAGCCTGGCCAACATGGTGAAACCCCATCTCTACTAAAAATACAAAAATTAGCTGGGTATGGTGGCGGGCGCCTGTAATCTCAGCTACTCGGGAGGCTGAGGCAGGAGAATTGCTTGAACCCAGAAGGTGAAGGTTGCAGTGAGCCAAAATCACACCATTGCACTCCAGCCTGGGTGACAAGAGAAAGACTCTTATCTTAAAAAAAAAGAAAAAAAAGAAATGGCATCTTCTTCAAGAATTACATCGTGTTTCATGATAAAGAAGCTCTAATTTTGCATTTGTTCAAGTATTGATGAGATTTAGCCAATATGGCACCCATCTTGGATAAAATGCAAACAACACAATTTCATTTTCTCATTAACAAAACCGATTAAGTAGTCTAATATCAATTCTGATCTTATTAAAAACTGATCAGATTAAAAAAATTATGGAGTTGTGGAGCCAATAAGATGTTACAACCTGTTCCAAGGGGAATTCCAAAATCCACACATATCTGAGACCATCAAGTATGATGAAATATATTTGATTACTATATTGAAAAATAAACTGATTACATAGCCAACAATTGGACAGGGGTCTCCTCATCCACAGCCACACAAACCCGATCATGCAGCTATGTGGTTACAAGGCCTACATAGCCTAGAAGGGACTGGTCTGACTTGAGATTTCATTTGTATTTGTATTTTGAGACAGGGTCCCACTCTGTCACCCAGGATGGAGTGCAGTGGTATAATCATAGCTCACTGCAACCTTGACCAACTGGGCTCAAGAGATGCTCCCGCCTCAGCTGTCCCCATACCTGGGAATACAGGCAAGTACCACCATGTCAGGCACTTTTTTTCATTTTTGTAGAGAGAGAAGTCTTGCTATGTTGCCCAAGCTGGCCTCAAACTCCTAGAATCAAGAGATCTGCCCATCTCAGCCACATGAGTAACTGGGGCCATAGGTACATACCATCATGCCTGGCTATATTTATTTTATTTTATTAAATTTATTTTTTTTATTTTTGTAGAGAGGAGGTCTCGCTGTGTTGCCCAGGCTGCTCTCAAACTCATGGCCTTAAAACATACTCCCATCTCTGCCTCTCAAACTGTTGGAACTATAGGTGTGAGCCACTGCACCTGGCCTGACCTGAGATTTCTTTTATCTAGCATCCTTTACTTGGTAGGATTGGGAAAGGCAGTAGTGTTTTTTAAAATTACTTAATAATTCAATCAGAATCAAACTCAACCTTGACCACTGCCTTCTCTCACAGCTCACATCCAGTCTGTCAGGAAATCCTACTGACTGACTTCAACATGTATCCAGGCTCTGACCATCTCTCACCACCACCGTGAACCCGGTCAGGATCACTATCATCTCCCACCGGGATGTTGCCACAGCTTGGCCCCCATGCTTCTACCCAAATCTTCCCATAGTCTTTCTCAACTTGGCAGCCAGGTCGTGCTTTTAAATCAGGAGACAGATCACGTCGCCTCTCTGCTCAGAAGCCCTCGGTGGTTCCCATTTTAGTCAGAGTAAAAGCCAAAGCCCCAGCAATAGCATCCCAGGGCTTACACGATCTGTACCGATCCCAGCCCAGCAACTCCCTGGCCTCCTCGCTGACTTCGCTCCCTCTATCTCTTTGCTCCACTGGCCTCCTTCCAGAGCCTCAGACACACCAGAGAGTTTCCTCCTAATGCCTTTATCCTGTTGACTCAGCCTACAATGCTCTTCCCTCAGCACCTTGGCCAGCTCCATCATCTGCTTCAAACTTTTGCTCAATATTCACTTATGAGGCCAACCCTGACCACTCTACTTAACACTGCCATCTGTCCCCATTCCCACCATGCTCATTTCTTTCTTTCTTTTTGAAACAAGGTCTTGCTTTATCGCCCAGGCTGGAGTACACTGGTGCAATCACAGCTCACAGCAACTTCAACCTCCCAGGCTTAAACAATCCTCCCGCCTCAGCCACCCTAGGAACTGAGACTACAGCTGCATGCCACAACACATGGCTTTTTTTTTTTTTTTTTTTTTGAGACGGAGTCTCGGTCGCCCAGGCTGAAGTGTAAGGGTGCGATCTTGGCTCACTGCAATGTCTGCCTTTTGGGTTCAAGTGATTCTCTGCCTCCCGAGTAGCTGGGATTACAGGCACCCACCACCACACCTGGCTAATGTTTGTATTTTTAGTAGAGATGGGGTTTCACCATCTTGGCTAGGCTGGTCTTGAACTTCTGACCTCATGATCCACCCTCCTCGGCCTCCCAAAGTGCTGGGATTACAGGCGTGAGCCACTGCGTCTGGCCTTTTAAAAAAATTTTTTTTAGACATGAGGTCTCATTATGTTGCCCAGGCTGGTCTTAAGCTCCTGGGCTTAAGCGATCCTCCCACCTCAGCCTCCTAAAGTTCTGGGATTACAGGCGTGAGCAACTGTAACATGAGGTCCCAGCTTCATGTTCATTTTGTGTTGTTGCTACAACAAAGTACCCTACATTTAGTGGCATCAAACACCACAAATCTACCATCTTACAGTTCTGGGGGCCAGAAGCCCAACTAGGTCTATTAAGGCTAAAGTCAAGGTGTCAGAGGGGCTGCATTCCTTCTGGGGGAGGCTCTAGACAGAATGTGCTCCTTTGCCTTTTCCAGCTTCTAGAAGCCACCCCCATTCCTTGACTTACCTCGTGACTCCATATTCAAGGCCAGAAGTGCAGCATCTTCAAATCTCCCTCTCTGACCTCTTCTTCCATTACCACATCACTTTCTCTAATTCTGACTCTCCTACCTCCTTCTCTTATAAAGATCCTTGTGATTGGTGGGTATGGGGGCTCCCATCTGTAATCCCAACATTTTGGGAGGCCAAAGAGGAAGAATTGCTTGAGGCCAAGAGTTAGAGATCAGCCTGGGGAAAATAGGAAGACCCTGCCTTTACAAAATTAAAATTAAAATCAGCTGGACATGGTGATGCATGCCTGTAGTTCCAGCTACTGGAGAGGCTAAGGTGGGAGGATTGCTTTAGCCTAGGAGGTCAAGGCTGCAGTGAGCTATGATCACATCACTGCACTCCAGCCTCAGTGGCAGAGTGAGACTCTGTCTCCAATATAAGAAAAGAAATATACATTTGGTCTCTGCCCCTGGTTCCTGGCATACAGCTTCCAAAGCTCTTATAAAGCCGTTCGTGACAGAGGTAATAGGAGCATTTTCTGTTTTGATATTTAGTCTTAGTCCCAGGTTCCTGAGACAAGGGCCTCTAAGGTCTTTCAGATCTGCAGCATGGTAAGAATGCATGTGGGATGCTGTTGAGCTAACAGGGTGGCTGCAAGCTCCTAGACTGCTTCAGGAGGAGGGCTAGCTGCCAGAGAAAGCAACCACATTTTTTTTTTTTTAAACGGAGTTTGGCTCTTGTAGCCCAGGCTGCAGTGCAATGGCACAATCTCAGCTCACTACAACCTCCACCTCCCGGGTTCAAGCAATTCTCCTGCCTCAGCCTCCCGAGTAGCTGGAATTATAGGGATGTGCCACAATGCCTAGCTAATTGTTGTTATTTTTAGTAGAAACGGGGTTTCACCATGTTGGTCAGGCTGGTCTCAAACTCCTGACCTCAAGTGGTCCATGTGCCTCAGCCTTCCAAACTGCAAGGATTACAGGAGTGAGCCACCGCACCTGGCCCCAACCACATTTTTTGAGGCTTGGAACTTTCAGCCTCACCTGCTGAACTCCAGGAGGCAAAAGGAACTGGAGATTGACTTAACTACCAATGGCCAATGATTTTATCAATCATGCCTCCATAAAAACCCAAACAGCAGGGTTTGGAGGGCTTCTGTGTTGCTAAACACAAGGAGGTCCTGGGAGGGTAGTGTGCCCAACAGAGGGCATGGAAGCTCTGTGCCCCTCCCCACTTACCCTGTCCTGTGCATCTCTTTCATTGGCTGTTCCTGAGATGGAGCCATTACATTGAGCCAGTAATAGAAAAATAAGGTAGCCAGATGCGCTGGCTCATGCCCGTAATCCCAGCACTTTGGGAGGCAGAGGTGGGCGGAATCACTTGAGCCTAGGAATTTGAGACCAGCCTGGGCAACATAAGAAGACCCCATCTATACAAAAAATAAAAGAAATTAGCCAAATGTGGTTGTGGGAACCCTGTAATTCCAGCTACTTGAGAGGCTGCAGCAGGAGAATCACTTGAGCCCTGGAGGTTGAGGCTTCAATGAGCTATGATTGCACCACTGCACACCAGCCTGGACAACAGAGCGAGGCCCTGTCTCTTAAAAAGAAAAGAAAAAAACCTGTTTTTCTAAGTTCTGTGAGTTGTTCTAGTAAATAATTAAACTCAAGAAGAGGGTCATGGGAAACCCTGATTTCTAACTGGTTGGTCAAAATACAGGTGACAACCTAGGACTTGCAACTGGCATCTGAAGTGAGGGTGGTCTTGTGGGACTGAGCCCCTAACCTGTGGGTTCTGCGCTAACTCTAGGTAGTGTCAGAATGGAATTGTGGGATACGCGGTTGGTATCCAGAGAGTTGGAGAACTGGTGTAGAAACTCTGCACACACATTTGGGCAGAAGTCTGTGAGTAGAGAGAAACGTGTTGCGGGAAGTCAGGGACCCCAAACGGAGGGACCGGCTGAAGCCATGGCAGAAGAACATAAATTGTGAAGATTTCATGGACATTTATTAGTTCCCCAAATTAATACTTCTATAATTTCTTAGGCCTGTCTTTACTGCAATCGCTGAACATAAATTGTGAAGATTTCATGGACACTTATCACTTCCCCAATCAATACCCTTGTGACTTCCTATGCCTGTCTTTACTTTAATCTCTTAATCCAGTCATCTTCATAAGCTGAGGATGAATGTCCCCGCAGGACCCTGTGATAATTGCGTTAACTGCACAAGTTGTTTAAACAATATGAAACCTGGGCACCTTGAAAAAAGAACAGGATAACAGCAATTTCAGGGAACAAGGGAGATAACCTTAAACTCTGGCTGCCTGTGGGCCGGGTGGAACAGAGCCATATTTCTCTTCTTTCAAAAGCAAATAGGAGAAATATTGCTGAATTCTTTTTCTCAGCAAAGAACATCCCTGAGAAAGAGAATGCATCCCTAAGGGGAGGCCTCTGAAATGGCCGCTTTGGGGACGGCTGTCTTTTACAGTCGTCGATAAGGGATGAAATAAGCCCTGGGCTCGCGTGGCGCTCCCAGGCTTATCAGGACAAGGAAATTCCCGCCTAATAAATTTTGGTCAGATGGGTTGTCTGCTCTCAAACCCTTTCTCCTGATAAGATGTTATCAATGACAATGCGTGCCCGAAACTTCATTAGCAATTTTAATTTCGCCCCAGTCCTGTGGTCCTGTGATCTTGCCCTGCCTCCATCTGCCTTGTGATATGTTATTACCTTGTGAAGCATGTGATCTCTGTGACCCACACCCTATTCGTACACTCCCTCCCCTTTTGAAAATCACTAATAAAAACTTGTTGGTTTTGCAGCTTGGGGGGCATCACGGAACCTGCCGGCATGTGATGTCTCCCCTGGACACCCAGCTTTAAAATTTCTCTCTTTTGTACTCTTTCCCTTTATTTCTCAGACCGGCCGACACTCAGGGAAAATAGAAAAGAACCTACATGAAATATCAGGGGTGAATTTCGCCCGATATCACACGGGATCTTCTCTCACCTGTCTACCTGCTTAACTGCACAGGAGAGGCAATGCATGGTGCTCATGAACAAGGCAAGCATTAAAGTCAGACCAGACTAACATTTGACTCAGTCTTAATATTCAGGTGAGCTTGGGCAAATAGCTCATTAACCCCAAGTCTTCATCATTTTGTGCATATAATGGGGATAACTGTGGCACCCACCTGTTTTTGTGAGAATCAATGAAATATTATGCTTGATGTTATTGTGATCACGATACTATCTGACAAGGGCAGTGATGCATGATAACATCAAAAAATTAGAAACTGTAATGAGGTCTCTTGCGCAAAATTCCATACAAGCAAATTACTGTCTCTACAAAGCATTTCTGCCACACTTAATTCACCATTCCCTGAACAAAATGTGCCATCTTCATTGTTCAGGTCTGTATAGTGCTGGTTTCCCTGCCTGGGCAGCTCACTGCATCCCATCCCAGCCCAATCCCCATCCCTCCACCTCCCCCTTCCCTCCCCACTCTCATACAACTCTTCCTTATCTTACAGGACTTGGCTTCAATGTCACCTTAACTGGAAGCTTCTCTCCCTCTCCAGAAGAGCTTCCCATTGCACTTGATGCATGCACTATTATTTGATCATTTTTGAGTTACAGTCGAAGTCTTTTTGTACCTGAATAACATGTTGCCCAGTCAGTTTCTCTTCCTGGATTCAGAAGTCTTTCATGGTAGGTCCAGCTAGAAGTGAAAAAAAGACATTAAAAAAAAAAAAAAAAAAAAAAAAAAAAGAGGGATGACACAGACATCAGCACTTAAAAGTTTTAAATGACATGTGAAAAACAAAATTTAAGGGCTTCTAGGAGAAATGTAGGAGGGAAGGTGTTACTGGGAAATATGATAGAAGGTTAATTTTTATTTTATTTTATTTTTAGAGAAAGAGTCTTGCTCTATCGCCTAGGCTGGACTGCAGTGGTGCAATCACAGTTAACTGCAGCCTCAACCTCCAGGGCTTGAGCAATATTCCCATCTAATTTTTATTTTGTTTAAGAAATGCGGTCTTGCTCTTAGCAAAGCTAAAGTGCAATGGTGTGATCATAGCTTACTGCAGCCTCAACCCTCTAGACTCAAGTGATCCTCCAGTCTTAGCCTCCCCAGTAGCTGGGACTACAGGTGTGCACTGCAACATGTAGCTCTTTTTTTTTTTTTAATTTTTAGTAGAGACAAAGTGTCACTATGTTGACCAGGTTGGTGGTGATCTCCTACACTCAGGCAGTTCTCTCACCTCAGCCTTCCAAAATGCTGGGATTACAGGTGTGAGCTGCCACACCTGGCTGAGGGGGTTAATTTTTAATTATATAAAGAGTTCAAAGCAAATATCAGAAGGAGCCTAAATGCCTCCAGCAGTTGACTGGTACTGGTAAATTGTGATACATCCATATAGTAAAATATTATGCAACCATGAAAAGGATTAAGATAGATCAATAGGTATTGGCACAAATGTCCACGAAATATGAAAATATGAAGTGATGTTCAATCACCATGTATGTATCTTGAAGGATATGGACCATTTTCTCAATTGCAATTATTTCCTGAGATAAGATTATGGGTCTAAAGAGTGAAGGACATTTTTCACTTATTTAAAAGTATTTATTATTTTTATAATTTAATAAAAGATTAAACAGATCATTGAATTAGTAAAAGACAAAGTAACTCAATAAATAAATGGAAAAGACACAGATACCCCAGGCATGGTGGCTCATGCTTATAATACCAGTACTTTGGGAGGGGGTGGTGGGGGGATTGCTTGAGGCCAGGAGTTCCAGACCAGCCTAAGAAACAAAGCAAGACCTCGTCTCTAGTAAAAATAAAAAAATAAAAATAATTGGCCAGGCATAGTGGCATGTGCCTACAGTCCCAACTACTGAGGTGGAAGGATCACCTGAGCCTAGGAGGTCAAGGCTGCAGTGAGTTGAGACTGTGCCACTACACTGAAGCCTAGGAGACAGAGCGAGACTTCATCTCAAAAAAAAAAAAAAAGGACAATAAAGAAATAAAGCTAATAAGCTAACATAAGGAAAGATAAAATATGTGACAAATAGGCTGGGCACATGGCTCACAGCTGTAATCAAGCACTCTGGGAGGCCGAGGCGGGTAGATCACGAGGTCAGGAGTTCGAGACCAGCCTGATCAACATGGTGAAACCACGTTTCTACTAAAAATACAAAAATTAGCCGGGCATGGTGGCATGTGCCTGTAATCCCAGCTACTCAGAAGGCTGAGGCAGGAGAATCGCTTGAACCTGGGAGGCACAGGTTGCAGTGAGCCAAGATCACACCACTGCACTCCAGCCTGGTCGACAGAGCGAGACTGCGCCTCAAAAAGAAAAAAGAATGGGTGACAAAGTAATAATATGAGGTCTTTCATTTATCACACAGAAAATAACTTGTTAAATTATAATACCTGTGTGGGCGAAGGTGCAGTGAAATGGCCATTTTCTTGTAGTATTAGTGGTGTTTAAAATGTATATAAGCCTTCCAGCATAAAGCTTGGAAATTTTTTTTAAATCATACAGACAGTGACTCATTATACTGCCTCCTCCAACTCCTGGCCTCAAGCAATCCTCCCACCTCAGCCTCCCAAAGTGCTGGAATTACAGGCTGACAGCCACCATGCCTGAAAGCTTTGCAATTTACATCAAGGGTAATAAGAATGCTCATGCCCTGTGACTCACAGTAATCTCACTTCTGGAAATTTCATCTTTGGATATAATTCAACCTAAACAAAAGGTCATATGCACAAACACAGTGAAAATCTGGGAGTAATTTTTTTCTCTTTTTTTAAAAAAATATGGAATGCTTCACAAATTTGCATGTCATTCTTTCACAGAGGCCATGCCAATCTCTCTATTGTTCCAACTTAAGTATGTGTGCTACTGAGGCAAGCATGAGTAATTTAAGATAGAGTGGTTAAGTGAAATAAGGAAGAATTATGGAGAATTTAAAAATCTATGCTATTTATAGGCACCTAGTAACAGCTCAGTAAATATTAGCTGCTACTATTATTATTTTTATGGTAATTTCACTCAATTAAAAACTGTCATTAAAAATTACCATTGTCATGGAACATAATGTCTCCTACTGTATAATTGTAGAAACAGATACAATTTGTCCCTTGGTATATGGGGGGATTAGTTCCAGCTCTCCCATTTCTGTGTATACCAAAATCCACGCATACTCAAGTTTTCGAAGTCAGTCCTGTGGAATCCACATATAACACAAATGGGAAAATTAGTGAGGTGTGGTGACAAGCACCTGTAGTCCCAGCTACTTGTGAGGCTGAGGCAGGAGGATTGCTTGAGCCCAGGAGGTTGAGGCTGCAGTGAGCCATAATTGCACCACTGCACTCCAGTCTGGGCAACAGAGTGAGACAGAAGGTTGACTTTTTAATAGAATTTTTCTGTTCACTTGAAGATATGGTCAGGATTGTGGCATATGAAAATTCTTCATAAAATAACTATCTAATCCAATTAATGCTGGAATTGGGAACAGCAGAAGTGTCATCTCAGAGCTACTCACAATGAAAGGTGATGTCTGGGGCTCAGGTGTGTTGAGGTCCCCATGCCTGGACTATGGGTGCTGAGTGGGATTTACTTGTCCATCCATTTTCTATATTCCAGCACTGGGAAACTAGGGTTTATCCATCTTGATAAGATGTCATTTAAATTCCACTTCGCAAGAACCACAAATGGAAGAAGGGCCATGAAACCGCAGGACAGTACTTGTTCTCAAGGGAATCTTCAGCTTAGGTGGCTCTGTAAAAGAGAAATTACATTGTTGAAAAATCGTCGCAGGTCAGGTGAGGTGGCTCATACCTATAATCCCAGCCCACTGGGAGACTAAGACAGAAGGATTCCGTGAGGCCAGGAGTTCAAGACCAGCCTGAGCAACACAGTGAAACCTCATCTCTACAAAAAATTAGAAAATGAACTGGGTGCGGTAAAACATTCGTATAGTCCCAGCTACTCTGGAGGATGAAATAGGAGGATCGCTTGAGCCCAGGAAGTGGAAGCTGCAGTGAGCTCTGATCTCACCACTGCACTCCAGCCTGGGTGACAGAGTGAGACCCTGTCTCAAGACACACACAAACACACACACACACACACACACACACACACCCCCAATCTCAGTCTGTCCAGCCTTGACTAATCAAAAGGGCCTTCTGGTTACAGAAGAGGTATGCTCTTTTGTAGGACAGGGAGAGACCAGCAAGCTTGTTCACAGACTTTTCCTCATCCTCTGCTTAGTTTTCCAAGAACCCTCACAGTGGAAATGGAGTCTCTGGGAAAATGACCTAAATCTTTGGGTTACCAGGGGAGAAATATGCCTCCTTTGTCAATTAATAAATGGAACATCTGCCTTAAAATCCAGGGAGTTCTGCTAGAATGAATCACTCCCTAAGACCCTGACCTATGCATGGAACATGAAAAACTGAAGTTTAACTGGGCACGGTGGATCACGCCTGTAATCCCAGCACTTTGGGAGGCTGAGGCGGGCAGATCACCTGAGGTCAAAAGTTCTAGATCAGCCTGGCCAACATGGTGAAATCCCGTCTCTACTAAAAATACAAAAATTAGTTGGGCATGGTGGTGGACACCTGTAATCCCAGCTACTCGGGAGGCTGAGGCAGGAAAATCTCTTGAACCCGGAAGGCGGAGGTTGCAGTTACTTCTAGAAGAATTTCCATTAGCCCTTTGAAATCCTTCAACATTCATGAAGGCCAAAGAGTTTTCACCTAATTTAATCTGATGGGTATGTGACCAGAGTCTTTCTAGGGAATAGAGACTCCCAAACAGTTCAGCTGGGAAGTGAGGAGAGAATTTATTACTCAAAATCAAAGGGAAATGAAAAGAGGCCAACATAGAATGTCATTATTCTTTCTTGGTGGGGAATGGATTCCAGAGTCATTCTGTGACCTTTACATGACCTCCTTATTAGCAGCTAAAAGCTTCCAGTGTAGGATGCAGCCAGCTAGGTTCTCTTCTAATGTAATAAAATTTGCTTCAGCAAATCTTATGCAGAGCCATCTCCAGGCTCCAGAAACAATAGGCTATAAATTACTGGATCTCCCATTTGATACAATGAAGTATAAGCACGGTCCTGAATGACTCCTCTACATACTACTCTGGGTGGCTTGAAGTGAATTTGATACAAGAACTGGAGCGAGCGCAAAGCAGAGCTAGATCTAGGATTAATGTGCTTGGGCCCAGCTCCTCACTACTCACCTATGAGTCTAGTTCCAGAACCCAAGTAGAGGGTGGGGAAACAAGGCTCCTGACTTTTTTTCCCTAATGTCTGCATCTCTTTCACATTTCTTATCTCCTTGCAAAGAAACTAAACAGGCTCAACTGAAATAACTAAATGATTAAACCCTATACAGAGAATCTCCAAAGACTGACAAAATATCATTCAAGACTGTTACACAGACAACCTTGAGGATGACTTGATGTACCAGTGATCTACAATATTTGGGATCATTCCAAATTCCCATCAAGGATCTGCCTATATCAACAAAGGAGCCAAGGACCAACCATTCAAATGGGCCCTGCTGCCAAGCCTTTTTTTTTTTTTTTACAATGCCATCTCTTCATATTGTTCCATTTAACAAAACTGCAGCCCTTCATCTACCCTTAAGTCCCTTGGCCAATGGTACAGAGCCAGAGTATGCTACTCCCTAGCAGGAAATCAACAGGATGACCTACTAAACACCATTCAGAAGATGCTAAGACCCATGAATTGCAACAGGAAAGAAAAGACAGAGAATTAGTCAGACAGGTACATGCTGTGCCAAAAATGCACTACAGCCCCCACCCAATTCTGCCTAATCCTAGCTGGGCTGACACCAACCTGATGAGACAGGCCTATGAGATCTCAAACTAAAACAGAAACTCCTGAACTGGGTTCTTTCAAACCCAGGAAGCAGCAGTAAATCATTAAAGAACAGATAAGTTCTTAAGATGAGGGAGAGTTTCAGATAAATGGAATGCTGGTAGAACACAGGGCCAAAGGAGCAAAAGTTAACCTAAGCCCAGGTAGAACCTTGTTTACTAGAGTACTGGGCATGGGTTGGGGCAACTATTCTAACCAGAGAAACTGGCTTCAGTGAGGGCAAGTTGGCAATCCAAGGTATAGCATGCATAGGGCTGGCAAAATTCAGGGTGACTGAAGCAAAAGCTTCAGAACCAGAAAGACCACATCTGGGGGTAGAGCACAAAACTCTCAAGAGATGAATCTTTGTAAGAGTGAGGCAGAACTATATAGCAGTTTTAGGAGATCTGTTGGTGCCCAGCAAGAGCTCCAAACAGGCTATATGCAGGGATGCAGGCTGTAGTCTCAGGAGAGGAGGTTCACAAAAGTCATTCAGTCCAAGACCTCAAACTGTGTTCTCTACTAAAAGGAATCAAGGTTCCCTAGAGAAATGGCTGACTCCATGTATGGTGCAGTATATTGATCCTGGAACATCTTTTTTGCCAGAAAGCAAGGAAGCCATCAAAGTCCAACAGGATCACATCAAAAAGACATGAAAGTCAACTTGAAGAGATAATTATTAACCTAGATGAGACAATGTAAGCATCCAAAACAATATAGACTGCAATGGCCTGAAATACATCAAATGCAAACAATAATCTGAGTTCATAATGGTATTCAGAAAAAAAACTACTGGTCAGTAGAGGGAAGGTTACTAGGTCACTAACTTACTACTCTAAAAAGTGACTTAAGATGAGAGGTAGGGTGGAGAATTAGCTATTTATTCAGTCTTTCCTGTACAAACATAAATTTTTAGGGAGATTGAAGCAGACGAAACAAATCTGGAAAAATGGAGGTAACTGCTTAATCTGCGGGTTGGGTGCATGGAGGTTCAACATATTTCTTTTGTGTATATTTGAACCCCCTACAAAAAAAGCACAAGACAGAATGTGAGCCAAGCAGCTTAGGGTTTAGGCAAGGCTTCTGCCTACAAGAGACACTAGGATATGAGGGGTAGTTTTAGCCCTGATGGGCTGAGCCAACTGGAGGTATATAGGGAGGTGCTAAATTGCTGAGGTATCATGTTGCCCAGCACTTGATCAAATCCTAGATCCTAGGTCTGCTTGGTAGCATGCTTCCTAGGTAGTGCATCTGAGGCTACCTAAAGAACTTCCTTTGCAGTCATAATTCGCTCAGAAACTACAAAAGTGCTTGCTCTTGAAAATGGAGTCTTTGTCCATTTCATGCTTCTATAAAAGAATACCACAGACTGCATAATTTATAAAAAGGAAAAAAGGAAGGAAAGAAAAAAGGAAGGAAGGAGGGAAGGAGGGAAAAAGGGAAGGAGGGAAGGAAAGGAAGGAAGGGAAAGAAGGAAAGGAAGGAAGGGAAAGAGAGAAAGAGGGAAGGAGGAAGGGAGGGAAGGAGGGAGGGAGGGAGAGAGAGAGGGAGGGAGGGGAAGGGAAGAAAAGGGAGAAGGGAAAGGAGGAAGAAAAGGAAAGGAAAGGAATAAATTTTATTTCTTAACAGTTCTGGATGTTAGGAAGTCCAAGGTTGAGGGGCCTGCATCTGGTAAGGGTCTTCTTGCTGCATCATCCCACTACAGAAGGCAGAAGGAAAAGAGAGTGCAAGAAAGCAAGAGGGCAAAGGGGGCTGAACTCTGTTTTATAATAAACCCACTCTGTGATTACTAATCTATTAGCACAATAACAACATTAACTCATTCATGAAGGCTATTTTATTAGGCCCCACATCCCAACTGTTGCATTGAGGATTGAGTTTCCAGCACATAAACTTTGGGGGACACATTTAAACCATAGCAGAGCACTTAGGTTAATTCAACTAAGAGGAGCTGGGAAAATGAAAGGCATGAGAAAGACAGCAAAAGCTAGCAGAGAGAAATGCATAGGTTAAGGAAAAAAGTCACAGTGAATCCTGTAGTGCAGGCTACTTTATCAAAAGCACCTAAAAAAGATCTCATTAACTCCCCCAGCTCACCTCCACCCACATCTAAAGAGCCACACACAGCACCACCAAAGGCAGCACAATGAGAACAGCATTCTCCTCAACAGACAAGCTGGGAGTATCTAGACACCTGACCTCAATAGCTCCAGAACAGCCCTAAAACAGTTCCTCCCTAACCACCACTCAAGTCACCAGCTTGGAAAGTATTAAGAAAACCCAAATCCTGACACACCACTATGAAACAACTTAAAACAGCAAAGAACAACCCATTTAAACAGCAATGCCAGCTGCTGGGAAAAAAAGGAACAATGAGTAGAGGAGAAACAGACCTCTTGGGGTCCACCAAGACCCAGTCTCTCAGCTTCAGCACTTTCAAATGCAGAATCCATACCCCTCTGGGGCCTGTGGAGCTCCACAAGGCATGTCGTCCTCAAAGATAAATGAGCAGGCAAGCTGGCTAGAAAACCACTAAGGGTATTAGTCTTTAAAGAATCTTTACAGGGTCAAAGAGGAATGGGTCTTAACTGGCTATGTGAACTCCCCACAGATTCTGAGGATGATGTCAGTATCCCTTTCCAGATGTGTTTAACACTTTGCAGTCACTTGTATTCCTGCCACTGAGTGCCAGTGCTTTGCTAATTTGAACTGATTCCAGCTCACGCTGACCCCAGCTCCCTGGATGTTACCATTAGCCAAGACTGTCACCCATACTGTACCCTTTCAAAGAGTCCTAAAAACAGCTCTTCACCTACTCTTCCAAGACAAGTAAAAATGTCTGCCAAAGAAATGGGGAAAAAAGATTCAGAGAGTGAAAACAATTAATATACTAACAAGAGAGCAAAAAGCAAAGGGGGAGGAGAAACTAGGAAAATCATAGATGGCCTCTCACCTATTTCCAAAGCTGGGCTAATGTCCTTTTGCTTGTGTCTGAATAAGGCACCAATTTTAAGCTGCTAATGAAAAAAAAAGAAAAAGAGAAAGAAGCAGGCCCAGGCTGGGCGCAGTGGCTCATGTCTGTAATCCCAGCACTTTGGGAGGCCGAGGCGGGTGGATCACCCAAGGTCAGGAGTTCTAGACCAGCCTGGTCAACATGGTGAAACACCATCTCTACTAAAAATACAAAAAATTAGCCAGGCATGGTGGCACATGCCTGTAAATCCAGCTACTCAGGAGGCTGAGGCAGGAGAATTGCTTGAACCTGGAAGGCAGAGAATGTGGTGACCTGAGATCACGCCATTGCCCTCAAGCCACGGCAATGAGAACAAAATTTGGTAAAAACAAAACAAAACAAAACCACACCACCATAAAATAACTCAGACTTAATTAAATACAACCCTAGTGGTGAATGACTAAAGATGGATTACTCATAACAGAGATAACAGTCCAATAAGAATCCAGGAATCTTACCTTTTAATAACAAAAAAATCCTTTCCTTCGAAAGTAACATCCTCTCAAGGCCAGGAATTCCATTAGTAGAAAGCCTTCCTGAAAAACAAAATTCCTGGCCAGGCATGGGTTCACGTCTGTAATCTCAGCACTCTGGGAGGCCGAGGCGGAAAGATCACTTGATGTCAGGAGTCGAGGCGGGAAGATCACTTGACGTCAGGAGTTCGAGACTGGCCCGGCCAACATGGTGAAACCCCATCTCCACTAAAAATACAAAAATTAGCCTCGTGTGGTGGTGGGCACCTGTAATCCCAGTGACTTGGGAGGCTAAGGCAGGAGAATTTCTTGAACCCAGGAGGCAGAGGTTGCAGTGACCAGCAAGGTTGCGCCATTGCCCCCCAGCCTGGGCGATAAGAGTGAAAACTCCATCTCAAAAAAAAAAAAAAAATTCCTTTGGGAAGGCCTTCTACATAAAAATCTTCAACATGAGACTGGAAAAAAGGGTATGGGATCATCACCGGACCTTTGGCTTTTACAGCTCGAGCTATAAGAACAAAAAGAAAAAGGGATATCATTTAAACACAGTATGTAGAAAAGAATAATTATTGAATCTGTACTGGTGTTTAACTTTTACACTTTGATCTTTAATTCTGTTATTGTGATTGAGTCCAAAGAAAAATAGTATGAGTAAAATAAAAAGAACACCAAACATGCTAATATTCTGTTTACCAAAGTCTGTAGTGAAATATCCCATTAAATCCAAGTGCAGTGACACACCCATAATCCCAGCACTTTGGGAGGCTGAGGCGGGTGAATCTCCTGAAGTCAGGACTTCAAGGCCAGCCTGGCCAACATGGTGAAACGCCAACTCTACTATAAATACAAAAATTAGGCAGGCGTGGTGGCAGAGGCCTGTAATCCCAGCTACTTAGGAGGCTGAGGCAGGGAGAATTGCTTGAACCCAGGAGGTGAGCTTGCCATCAGCTAAGATCATACCACTGCACTCCAGCGTGGGTGACAGAACAAAACTTCAACCTCCAAAAAAAAAAAAAAAAAAACAGCTAGCAGGTGACATTTGCTATGGGGAGACTAGGGATATGATCTTGCTGCAATCCTTCCATTTTAGTAAATCTAAACAGCGTGAATCCATTCTGTTTCGTCCCCACTCCACTCCAGAGCCAAAACAAGAAAATCAATTACATTTCTAGTTCTTTAAAAACATATCTAACTAAATCATCTAATTAAAAGATAATATGCATGGTTCCATACTCTAAAAGAAAACTTATGTCCTGCATATCATGGACATTTGATGAATGCTTATTCACTTGACTGGTGTAGACTTCAATAATAACCTGTTCAATGCATTATGCCAGATGAATCTCGCATCTCAAAAGTAGAACAAATATTGTTCTTTCAGTTTTGTCTACCCATAAATGCAATATTTACTAATAAAAAGAAAATGAGTTTATTGTTCTAGAGAGTATGAGAATTTTGACAACATGAATTCTCCTGTCCTAGGACATAATTAATACTTAGAGGCATACTATTTCATGTGGAAGCTACCATTAAATCAATGTTAAGTGTTAATTACCTCACATAATCTTCTAATCTGACTTAAGACTGAAGACATACCTCACAAAGCTGATTTATCAAGTTGTAAATCTTCACCTGTTGAATTCATAAGTTCATGTCTGAAAGGTGAGAATAAATACTTAATATTCACTAGGCAATATTCAGCAAAGTAATATCCACTAGTACATATTTAATATTTCATCATGAACTGCGGGTGTGAAGAGAAAAGACAGGCTGGGCACAGTGGCTCACACCTGTAATCCCAGCAGTTTGGGAGGCCGAGGCAGGCAGATCATGAGGTCAGGAGTTCGAGACCAGCCTGGCCAACATGGTAAAACCCCGTCTGTACTAAAAGTACAATAATTAGCTGGGCATGGTGGCAGGCACCTGTAATCCCAGCTACTCGGGAGGCTGAGGCAAGAGAACTGCCTGAACCCAGGAGGTGGAGGTTGCAGAAACCATGATCGCGCCACTGCATTCCAGCCTGGGCAAGAGAGCAAGATTCTGTCTCAATCAATCAATCAATAAAAATATAAGGAGGAAGCATTTACTGTGTATTTATATGTCTGGTATTATGTGAAGCACTTTACTATCTTATCAAATCTTCGGGACAGATCTTCAGTTCTCACGACCACAAAAGAGGATACTAAAGCTCAGACAGGAGAAGAGACGTGGCCAGCCTGTGTCCCCAGGGCCTATGGTCTTACCACTAGGTTACAGTGTTTCCAGATATCACATGTTGTGAGATTTTTGCTTTAAAATGAACCAAAAAAAACCAAAGGCGAAAAAGGCATAAGCTATTAAAAAGTGGGAGAAACACTAAGAGAACCTTAAGCATGTAACTAAAAATATTATGGAAATGTTATTGAATTCATTAGCAAATTTAATGCTAGGTTTTCATTGAGGAGTAGGTTATATTACTCATGATGAAGAAAAATGTTCATTTTAAGTATATTAACATAAATACCATCAATATTGTTTATCATGTTTAAATGTTCACTTAAAGCAATTCAGTTAAAATTCTGCATATCATACAATTTTATAGTTTGCTAGTAGGTTACAAGTAAATAGTCACCCAAATAAAAACATCATGTGTTTTCCACTGGTTGTTGCTCTTTTTAGGTGAGCATTTGATGTATACCAACAGAGAGAGGATAATAACAAATCACTAATTTCTTTCATCACTATATAAAGGTGGCTTCAGGATAGAATAGTGTAAGGACAATGATGAATTTGAAATCTAACATCAATTCAGTGATGCATCAAGATAAAAGTAGAGACAATAGGGGCACCTTGGTGAGTACTGAACATTTTATTTATTTATTTATTTTGAGATGGAGTTTTGCTCTTTTTGCCCAGGCTAGAGTGCAACGGTGCAACCTCGGCTCACCGCAACCTCTGCCTCCTGGGTTCAAGCGATTCTCCTGCCTTGGCCTCCCGAATAGCTGGGATTACAGACATGCGCCACCACACCCGTCTAATTTTGTATTTTTAGTAGAGATGGGGTTTCTCCATGTTGGTCAGGCTGGTCTCGAACTCCCGACCTAGATATCTGCCTGCCTTGGCCTCCCAAAGTGCTGGGATTACAGGTGTGAGCCACCACGCCCAGATGAATTCCAAATTTAACAAAGCAGACTAAGAGAAACAATTCATTTAAAAAAATAATATTTGGCCAGGCGTGGCGGCTCACACCTGTAATCCCAGCACTTTGGGAGGCTGAGGTGAGTGGATCAGGAGGTCAGCAGTTCAAGACCAGCCTAGCCAAGATCATGAAACCCCGTCTCTACTAAAAATACAAAAATCAGCCAGGCATGGTGGCTGGTGCCTGTATCCTAGCTGCTCAGGAGGCTGAGGCAGAGAACTGCTTGAACCCGGGAGGCGGAGGTTGCAGTGAGCCGAGATCGTGCCACTGCACTCCAGCCTGGGCGACAGAGTGAGGCTCCGTCTCAAAAAAAATAAATAAATAATTCAATGAAATCCCTAAGATCCAGGGCTTTGCAATAAATATGTAAATAAATTTCCAATCTCCATACTGAAAGTTTAAAAGAAATGCTAATAACTAAAGAAATACAACTTTTCCTCAGCTTTGCAGCAATCTAGAAACAAAGTGTGTAGACACTACAAAGCACCTTACAAGGAGAAACGTGTAAGGATGGCATGACTCGCCGGCAGCCCTGGGCTTGTCCACGGTACCCCCATGATGAACAGTAACTCCATTGTGTAAACGCCCATGAACATAAGATTACAGGACTTTTCCAGTTTAGACATACCATATTTTCTTTCAGACAATTCTTCAATTTGTTTACATAGATCAGCGATACGATTATTCCATTTCTCTGAAAATCAAGCAAAAGTTGCTTCTCAATAATACGTCCCTATGTCAGAGCAGCACTAACATATAATGACTTATTTCATATATTTTACATTCTAACGGTCCATATCATTTTACTGCTTTCAAGAAAAAATTTCCCCTTTTTGGTGGTTCTTAGAATTGGTTTAATGGGAGACTATTAGAGAAGCTGAAAAGCAGGAGGGCAGAAAAGTTCAATCAAATTAAACACAATAACAGGGAGGTCACAATGAGGCGGTCTCCCGGGGTCTTTTAGCAAACTTCCTAAAACATGTCTCAGCTGTGTGAAATAAGACTTTACAGCAGCCGGGTGCAGTGGTGCAGGCCTGTAATCCCAGCACTTTGGCAGCAGAGGCAGGCGGATCGCTTTGAGCTCAGGGCAACATAGCCAAAACCCCCCTCCCTAGCCCCACCCCCACCCCGTCCCTACCAAAAATACAAAACAGCAGGGCATGGTGGCGGGCGCCTGCAGTCCCAGCTACTCAGGAGGCTGAGGCAGGAGAATCATCTGAACCCAGGAGGCAGACATTGCAGCGAGCCAAGATCACGCCACTGCTAGCCTGGATGACAGAGCAAGACTCCACCTCAAAAAAACAAAAACAAAAACACAAGATTAAGAGGGACCCCCGACCTTACAGATACAAGTTTAAGAGGGACCCCTAAGCAAAAAATGCCAACCCTTTTTCTCCCAATCATTGTAACACCAGGAGGGTGTAACAGTTTTGCAGCCTAGCTGTAGCAGGCTGATGCCCCCAAGATGCCCATATCCTAATCCCGGGAACTGGTGAACATGACCTTATATGGCAAAAGAGGCTTTGCAGATATAATGAAGTTAAGGGTCTTTGGCTTTTGGGGTTGATGTACTCACTCGGATCCTTGTAAGAGCAGAGCAGGTGATGGGAGAGGGTGGGAGGTGTAGTGACAGAAGCAGGAAACTCCAGTCATTCGAGACGGGCAGCACAAGCTGAGGAGTGCAGGCCACCTCTACCGCCAGGAAACGGATTCTCCCGCAGAGCCTCGGAAGCCACCGACCCTGCTCCCACCTTGACTCAGTAGGACTTACTGTAGAATTCTGGCCTTCAGACCTGTAAGGGAATACATTTTGGTTGTTTTAAGTCACTAAGTGTGTGGTAATTTGTTGCAGCAGCCACAGGAAACTAGTATTGTAGTGAAGCCTCAAAACCCCCCTGAAGGGGCTGGGCTCAGTGGCTCATGCCTGTAATCCCAGCACTTTGGGAGGCCGAGGTGGGTGGATCACTTGAGGTCAGGAGCTCGAGACCAGCCCAGCCAACATGGTGAAATGCCATCTATACAAAAAATACAAAAACTAGCCGGGCATGGTGGCACATGCCTGTAATCTCAGCTACTCAGGAAGCTGAGACAGGAGAATTGTTTGAACCCAGTGGGGCGGAGGTTGCAGTGAACTGAGATTCCACCACTGCACTCCAGCCTGGGTGACAGAGCGACGCTCCATCTCGAAAACAAAACAAAACAAAAAAACCCCACCTGAAGGTTTCCAGTTCTGCCAGCAGTCTCCCACCCAAGCCCCAGAAGCAGACATTCCATTGCTGTGGGCCATGGACAGGCAGAAGGAAGCACCTCCTCATGGCAGAGGCCTACCCAGGAGAAACCCAAGGGAAGGCACTGCTGGGCTGGCCCCTCTCTGCCAAGGCCATATTCTTTTTTTTTTTTGAGGCCAGTTTCACTCTGTCTCCCAGACTGGAGTGCAGGGGCACAATCTCGGCTCACTTCGACCTCTGCCTCCCCAGTTCAAGTGATTCTCCTGCCTCAGTCTCCTGAGTAGCTGGGATTACAGGAGTGTAGCATGCCTAGCTAATTTTTGTATTTCTAGTAGAGATGGGGTTTTGCCATGTTGCCCAGGCTGGACTCGAACTCCTTGCCTCAAGTAGTCCATCTGTCTCAGCCCCGCAAAGTGCTGGGATTACAGGAGTGAGCCACTGCACCCAGCATTTGCCAAGACCTTTGATGGCAGGCTTTTTCCAGGTGATCAGTCCTTGTCTGGTCTGGCTCTGCCCCACTCTCCTTCTCACCTAGTTGGAATCCCTAGCTACTTTTCAGTAGAGGAGAGTGTGTACCCCAATCCCAGCTTGGTTCAGATCTGCATTTAACTCATGGAACCTGGCTGCTCCCCAGGTCCTGAAGAAAAAAAGGGTCTCTCTGTGGGTATGATAAAGGATGGGCCTGTCCCCAGGACCCTGTGAGAGGGAAGCCCAATGTCCCACCAGGTTGGCAGGGCTGGGGAAGGGAAAGTGTTATGGCAGCCCCAAGGAAAAAAAGAGGCAGCAGAGGGAGCAGGACAGCACTCACGTGGAACTCATGCCACTGCCTGAGTGAGGGGAGGGAGGAGTGCACGCCAGTGACGTCAGGGGGCAGAGAGGCACAGTTCCAGGGCGGCTTTCCCCCTCACTTCCTGCCATGTTACTCTGATCGCCTCCAGGTGAGCCTGTCCACTTTGTGCCCAGGGGCCTGTAGAAAACCACAGCTCCCCATGGTTATGGCCCCAGGAGTGGGGCAGAGCAGGGAGGAGTCCTGGACAGAGGAGAGGCAGGGGCAGGAGGGAGTGGGCCTCAAACTCCAGGAGGGGGCCCTTCTCATGGGTCCTGCTTTCTGGCTTCTCCTTCCTTACCCCTGGGCTGATCACTCGGGGAAGAACTGAGACAAAGTTTCTCACCCTCAGGCCCAAAGGGTTTAATTACTGGGCCCTTAGGGAGGTGTGAGCCCCCTGAAAGGATGCAAGGTTTTGTTTTGTTTTGTTTTTTGAGACAGAGTTTCGCTCCTGTCGCCCAGGCTGGAGTGCAGTGGCATGATCTCACCACACTACAACCTGTGCCTCCCAGGTTCAAGTGATTCTCCTGCCTCAGCCTCCGGAGTAGCTGGGATTACAGGTGGCTGCCACCACACCTGGCTAATTTTTTGTATTTTTAGTAGAGACAGGGTTTCGCCATGTTGGGCAGGCTGGTCTTGAACTCCTGACCTCAGGTGATCCGACTGGCTCCGCCTCCCAAAGTTCTGGGATTACATGAGCCACTGTGCTTGGCCACGATGAAAGGTTTTGTGTGGAGAGCATGTACATGCCTTTCTGGGAAAACAGTCCACAGCTCTTATTCTCAGCAGGCTTCACGGTCAAAAATGGTTAGAACTCTTGCTACAGAGCTGTGGAAGCAGCCAGGTGAGGGGCCTGCCAAGGGCACTCTGGGCACTACCTGGGCACTCTCTAGCCCATCATCCCCTAGGCAGGCTGCACTGCTTGGTATTTGCAGAGCTGAGGGGGTGGGGCATGTGGGGACTGTGAAATCGCCCTGAGATGACCCACAGTCCTCAGCTGGGAAGTGAGCAGTGCATCTCCTGCAGCGTCCTCCATCCCTAGAGCCATGGGGCCAGGAGAACTGGCCCTTGCAGCAAGTGAAAAGCCTATTATTGACTCCCTCCCTAGCCATGTAGACAGTGAACCAAGACACTCATATCAGGCAAATGCCTTGTTCTCTGTTACCGAGGTAACCAGTAGGCATTCC
Source organism: Homo sapiens (assembly GCF_000001405.40). Lineage (NCBI taxonomy): Eukaryota > Metazoa > Chordata > Mammalia > Primates > Hominidae > Homo > Homo sapiens. The sequence goes on from NT_187519.1 coordinate 107,252, forward strand.
CAGATACAGTGAAGGTCCTCACACCAAGATATGCACCTGGCCACCTGAGGAAAGAGAAAGGACTATCTGAGGGGATGGGGCTGAGCTGGGTGTGGAGTGGTCCTTGTGGGTCTTGGAGAGTGGGAGGGGGAGCAGCATGAGCCAGGCCTCGAGGCAGAAGGACAACCAGGAGACAGCCTGGAAAAAGTGCTGGACCCACAAGGGCTCAAGGCTGGCCAGAGGGGAGGTGGGATAGGCTGCAAAGTCCTGAGGTCTGAAGATTGGCCCTGGCAGGAAGAAACCAGGTAAGGTGGGGTGTTACCTACACCCTCGGGGCCAGATGCAGGCCAGAGCCAGCCAATTACCAGGCCCTTAGGGAGGTGTGAGCCCCTTGAAATGACGCAAGGTTTTTTGTTTTTGTTTTGGAGACGGAGTTTCGCTCTTGTCGCACAGGCTGGCACCTTTGCCCAGAGCAGGCACCAAGACTTCTGGCTCTGGGTGTGACCTCAGTCTGAGTAAAAGCCCCAGCCCCCACCAGGACCACCTACCCCCTAGACTACTTCAGGTGCTGAGCCCAAGCCAGGGGCAGGAAGCTAAACTGATGCCTAGGGTAATCCCAGCAAAGTCCCTGGTTCCCCGCAGCTATGGGGCTGATGGGGAATTACAGCCCAAACCCCAGATGCTGGCTATCAAACTAACACTGAGCCCTCAGTGCCCACAGGGAGATACAATCAGCGCACTTTCCAGATGGGGAAATGGGATCAGAGAAGTGCAACAGCCTTGCCCAATGCCCCAGACCAGGGCTCCAGGCCCAGAGTGTTCTTTTGTCACTGTGTTCAGAGGGCAGCAGCTGCTGTGATGTACCCACCTGAGCCTGGCAGCTTTCTCCAACTTTGGAAGCCCAGGAGCGTGGCCCCTGTCCACAGATGCACCTGGCATGAGGCGTGCCCAGAGGGACAGAGGCAGATGAGTTTCGTCTCCTCCACTGGATTGTGAGGGCCTAGAAGGAGACAAGGGTCTGCTTGGGAAGGCAGTGAATAGCGAGCAGCCTGAGGCAGTGCCCCTCTGGATGGATGCACAGTGCCTGGATGGAACCTGGCTCAGACAGAGCTCAGTTCTGCAGGTCCCTGAGGCATGGAGAGTTCACAGCTACCAAGCGTAGGAGTCTGGATTCAAAGCCAACGGCGTGACTCCAAAGTCCCTGCCCTAGCCCCTGGACCACCCTTGCAGGCCCATCAGATGCCCAGGCCAGCAGCACAGCCGGCCAAGACCAGGGAAACTTGGGGAGCCTCAGAGCACCCCCAGGTATTCCAACCTAACCCTGGTGCCCCGCCTCTCACCACCCTTCTTCCTGCTTTAACCTCAACCCCTACACAAAGCCTGGGCCACTTAATGTGGCATCAAACAGACGCCTCAATAAATCAGTCTAATCTCGAAAAAAAAAAAAGACTTAACAGATACACAATTGCACGTTAGAATGCTAAAGACCATAAACATATAACAACTTAAAGTACATATAAATTCAATATATATCCAATCATTGTAACTATGACACAGTAGAATATTAAAATACTATTTTCAAAATGTATACAAGCTTAATGTTCTATGTATTCAAACTATTTATTCAAAATACAAATCATCAACATAAATTGCCACTAATATTCAGTCCCTTCACAGGACACATGATTCACTGGGAGTTAATAAATTAGCAGCCGGCAGGCAGTGACACACAGCAAAAATGAAAACCAAGAGGTGAAATAGTTCTGAAATAAAGGTTTTAAAGCTAACAGAAATCACTGAATTACTAAGTCATTAGCACTCATTTTGAGCCAACTAACTAATTAATATGAGATGATACAACGTCCTATACTTTGGTAAATACAGACTATGTTTAAACAATGTCTGTAACATGACTTGTAAAATGCTCCTGGCTTTACAAAGATGTGATTAAGATGTAGTAACACATGCTAAACCATTTCCCCCTGCAGAGCATGTGGTAACTTTCATCAGTCACATTGAGAGTCCAGAAGATAAAGGAAAAGGTCATGGATTTCGCTGAGAACTTACCAGAGTTGAACTCCCTCATTTTCCGTTCCCCAGCATTGGCGGGTTCTGGGACTGGTGGCTGTGGTGGCTCGTTGGTCTTTGTCTCTTAGAAGGTGGGGAATAATCATCATCTTGAAAAAGAAAAAATGGTCATTACTGAAGGAACCATCTTAGGTTACAGCCACCTCTGGGTCAATTCCCAACATTCAAAAGCTGAGCAGGGCTTTAAAGCTATCTTATTAATAATTATTTCTGTATTGCGAACTTCAGCATACTTTTTCCTAGTTACATTTGAAATGTTATTCTTTTGGGATGTGCTCAAGTGAATACTGCTTTTTCCTCTGCCTTGCTTCATTACTTTTTAGTTTCCTTCATTTGAATCATCATTGTAAGTCTCCTCTTCTCCTCAAATAACTTTCAAATTGCTGCCAAGAACTATGTTCTATCTTAAGGCTTTTGAGAAAAAACTTTCAATGAAGATAGCCGCCTAAAGTTATACAAATATAGAAGAAACGGGATAAAATAAAGCTTAGATTGGAAAAAATAAGATTATACAAAATTCACACGTCAACAAGGGAAGCTGAGTAATTGTATGTTCAAATACTTTTAACAAGTGCAAAACATGTAGGCTTAAAGAACTAGAGCTGGCCAGGCATGGTGGTTCACGCCTGTAATTCCAACAGTTTGGGAGGCCGAGGCAGGCAGATAACTTGAGGTCAGGAATTCGAGACCAGCCTGGCCAACAGAGTGAAACCCTCTCTCTACTAAAAATACAAAAATTAGGCCAGGAGTGATGGCTCATGCCTGTGATCCCAGCACTTTGAGAGGCCGAGGCGGGTAGATCACCTGAGGTCAGGAGTTTGAGACCAGCCTAACCAACATAGAGAAACCCCGTCTCTACTAAAACTACAACATTAGCCGGGTGTGGTGGCACATGCCTGTAATCCCAGCTACTCGGGAGGCTGAGGCAGGAGAATCCCTTGAACCCGAAAGGCAAAGATTGTGGTGAGCCGAGATTGTGCCATTGCACTCCAGCCTGGGCAACAACAGCGAAACTCCGTCTCAAAAAAAAAAAAGAAAAAATTAGCCAGGCGTGGTGGCGCATGCCTGTAATCCCAGCTACTTGGGAGGCTGAGGCAGGAGAATCGCTTGAACCCAGGAGGCTGAAGTTGCCGTGAGCCAAGACTGCACCATTGCACTCCAGCCTGGGTAGCAGAGCAAGACCCTGTCTCAAAAAAAAAAAAAAAAAAAAAGAGAGAGAGAGAGAAAGAAAGAAAGAGGGCTACATTATTTATGAAACAGATACTGTTAACTCAGTCACCAGAAAGCCTGTGTATAAATGAGCAGTGAGATATTCAAGTACAGCACACACACACTTCTCAGGACAGCTGTCGTGAGAGTTCCATGCTCGTTTCCTTCTGGATACATCAGCAACTCACTCTGCTATGATCCTGCAATACGTCTCATGTTAGAATTAGAGACATCTGGGCCAGGCACAGTGGCTGACGCCTGTAATCCTAACACTTTGGGAAGCCGAGGCAGGCAGATCACCTAAGGTCAGGAGTTCGAGACCAGCCTGGCCAACATGGTGAAACGCTGTCTCTACCAAAAATACAAAAAATTAGCTGTGCATGGTGGCACGCGCCTGTAATCCCAGCTACTCGGGAGCCTGAGGCAGGAGAATCGCTTGAACCCGGGAGGTGGAGGTTGCAGTGAGCCGAGATCGTGCCACTGCACTCCAGCATGGGGGACGGAGCAAGGCTCTGTCAAAAAAAAAAAAAAAAAAAAAAAAACACAGAAAAAGAAAAAGAAAAAGAAGAAGAAAAAAGAATTAGAGACATCTGGATCAAATCAGCTGCCAGTCTCGCAAAGTGTCGGGTAACATCCTATTAAGATTGCTGCTTACACATCATCTATAAAATACTGAAAATATCATTTTAAGAAATCTTTTTTTTATTTTGAGACAGAGTTTTGCTCGTTGCCCAGGCTGGAGTGCAATGGTGCGATCTCAGCTCACTGCAACCTCTGCCCCCTGGGTTCAAGCAATTCTCCTTCCTCAGCCTCCTGAGTAGCTGGAATTACAGGCATGCACCACCACGCCTGGCTAATTTTGTATTTTCAGTTGAGACAGGGTTTCTCCATATTGGTCAGGCTGGTCTCGAACTCCTGACCTCAGGTGATCCACTGACCTTGGCCTCCCAAAGTGCTGGGATTACAGGTGTGAGCCACCATGCCTAGCCAAGAAACCCTTATTTTAAAACAAGCCAGGCGCGGTGGCTCATGCCTATAATCCCAGCACTTTGGGGAGCCAAGGCGGGTGGATCACTTGACGTCAGTAGTTTGAGACCAGCCTGGACAACATGTTGTAACCCCATCTCTACTAAAAATATATTTAAAAAATTAGCTGGGCGTGGTGGTGGGCACCTGTAATCCCAGCTTCTCAGGAGGCTGAGGCAGGAGAATCACTTGAACCTGGGAGGTGGAGGTTGCAGTGAGTGGAGATCACGCCACTGCACTCTAGCCTGGGTGACAATAGAAAGACTCCATCTCAAAAACAAAACAAAACAAAACAAAAAACCACTAAAAGAAAGACTCCATTTCAAAAACAAAACTAAAACCAAAAACACAACACAAATGTAGTATACAAATGAAAATAATTACTGTGTTAAACACAGTTTCATAGAAAATAAAAGACCAATCAAATACAATAAGCTGCCTTTTTAGATGGGTGTTATTCTTCTTTCACAGCTAAAGAAACGGGCTCAGAGAATGTTATTTGATTGGACCGTGTTGCATCTCTGGACAGTGCAGCTGAGATCAGACTTTGTGTGTAACTCCACTAGCCTACCAGGGTGCCTCTCATAAAGGTAAGAAATGTAAATTTGGGCTAATATACAAAGTTGCCAGGGCAGCACTGGGTCAATTCTACATACAGTACTTCTATGTTCATCAAGGGAAACCTTAAGGGAAAGTGAAAATGCTTCTAGAAGGCGACTGGACACCAGCGCCTTTGCTTGTTGCCTTTGGGCTCTTCTTCTAAGGCCAACAGTGACCTGAGATTATTGACTGGCTTTTCCAATCAAGTGGACAAAATGGTACCAAGGTCGCCAACATCAAACAAATTCACTTGAGGGCCTTATCTATGTCCTTTGAAAGACAAAACTGCTTTTGTAAAGGACACTGTATTTCAGAAAAACATAATCATATTAACAAATAATAACACTGTAAAATGCTGATGTATTGAATGCTACTTTAGAAAAACATGCTCAAATCTAGGGAAAAAATTTGATACAAAACTCCGTATCAATTATCTAGCTAGCTAGCTAGCTAGCTAGCTAGAGACATGCTTTCATTCTATTGCTCAGGATGGGAAGCAGTGGGATTATCATAGCTCACTGCAGCCTTGAGCTCCTGGCCTCAAGTGATCCTCCTGCCTCAGCCTCCTAACTAGCTAGGGCCACAGGTGGACACAGTTATGCCTGGGTTTTTGTTTGTTTGTTTTGTAGAGACAGGGTGTCACTACATTGCCCAGGCTGGTGTCAAACTTTGGAGTCTCGCTGTGTCGCCCAGGCTGGGGTGCAGTGGTGCGATCTCGGCCCAATGCAACCTCCGCCTCCCGGGTTCAAGTAATTCTCCTTTATCAGCCTCCTAAGTAGCTGGGACTACAGGCATGCGCCACCACGGCCGGCTAATTTTTGTATTTTTTGTAGAGACTGGGTTTCACCATGGCCAGGCTGGTCTCCAACTCCTGACCTCAGGTGATCCACCCGCCTCGGCCTCCCAAAGTGTTGGGATTACAGGTGTCAGCCACTGAGCCTGGCGGAGCACTTTCTTATGTTATTAAGTAGCCTAACCCAGGTGGGGCGCTGTCCCTCACACCTGTAATCCCGACAACTCTGATGGCCAAGGTGAGAAGATCGCCTCAACTCAGGAGTTCGAAACTGGCCCGGGCAACATAGCGAGCCCCCACCCCACCCCATCTCTAGAAAAAAAATACAAAAATTAGGCCAGGTGCACACCGCGCCCGGCTAATTTTTGTATCTTCTGTAGAGACGGGGTTTCGTCATGTTGCCCAGGCTGGTCTCGAACTCCTGAGCCCAAGCCATCCATCCTCCCGCCTCGGCCTCCCAAAGTGCTGGGATTACAGTAGGGCCCAGCCAGCCTCATGTTTTATTGCACACCTGGATAGTTTTTTAATTTTTTTACACAGGGTTTACCTCAATCTCGCAGGCTGGAATGCTGTGGTGGGATCATAGCTCACTGGAGCCTTGAATCTTTGGGTTCAAGTAGCTGGGGGGCTGAGGTAGGACTACAGAGATGGGGTTGCGCCATGTTGCTAGGCTGCTCTTGGCCTGAAGGGTCCTCCCGCCTCGGCCGCGCCATAGTTTTCTATTTTTGACCAACATAAACACTGTGCTGGGTCTGAATTTTTCAGCTACCCTTCTTCAGCCGGCAACACACAGGACCTGGCGGGGAGGTCGCTCTCACCAGTCCCCACTCTGACGAGAAGACCGCCCAGCTCCAGGCACCGTAGCGCCCCAGTGACGTAGGCGAACACCCGCGCCTCTGACGTCGCCAAAGGCCCACCGCTATGGTGTCGGCGAAGGCGCGCCCTTGTGACGTCACGGAAGGCGCGCCCTTGTGACGTCACGGAAGGCGCGCCCTTGTGACGTCACGGAAGGCGCCCCTTGTGACGTCACGGAAGGCGCGCCCTTGTGACGTCACGGAAGCGCAAGAACCGCTTGAACCCGGGAGGCAGAGGTTGCAGTGAGCTGTGATCGCATCACTGCACTCCAGCCTGGGCCACACAGCAAGACTCTGTGTAAAAAAAATTATTTTAGGCCATCGAACTGTATACCTGAAATTAGCAAATTTTATTATATGTAAATTGTATCTCAATAAAGCTATTTTAAAATTATAAAACTTGGCTGGGCACGGTGGCTCACACCTGTAATCCCAGCACTTTGGGAGGAGAGGCAGGTCGATCACCTGAGGTCAGGAGTTTGAGACCAGCCTGGCCAACATGGTGAAACCCCTTCTCTACTAAAAAATACAAAAATTAGCTAGGCATGGTGGCGCTAGCCTGTAATCCCAGCTACTTGGGAGGCTGAGGCAGGAGAATGGCTTGAACCTGGGAGGCGGAGGTTGCAGAGAGCCGAGATGGCGCCACTGCACTCCAGCCTGGGCAACAGAGCGACACTCTGCCTCAAAAAAAAAAAAAAATTATAAAACTTAAAAAATAATGTTAATGATAACAGAAGTTTGAGAATCAGAGATAAATTGTGTAATGATTTTTAAAAAGGGGGCCCAATTTTTTTACGGTTCAGTTTCTAGAACAGGAGTTATTCACCTGTAAGTCATTTGACGAATAGAGAGATAATTTTTTAGCACTCTTTCCAATTACTAGCATGTGTTTTCTTTGTCCCAAATCATGTTTAACACATCATTTATACTAAAAATACTAATTAAAACAATTATGGCATACTTCTAATAATGTTAAAAGTGAGTAATAATACTTAACCTAAAAGGGTACATTTATAATACTACAGTTTCAAGTTTCAGAAAGCAGAGAGGGAAGGATATTTCAAGACTGGAATATTCCTGCCATTCCTTAAATCACATTCCTCAGCATCTATTCATTTAACAAATATTTATTAAAGACCTGCTACACTCCAAACTCTTTCTATATGCTTCTGATCCATCAATGAGCAGAAAACACAGATATGCATCAATTAGGTTAGTTTGCAGAATCTCAGTGGCTTCTAGCACAATAGTTCATTTCTGACCCATGAGACCTGACAATTACTGGTTAACTACAGCTCTGTGACAGATTGTCATCTTTCTAGGACCCAGCCTGATGGAGTAGCCATTATCTGCAACTCTGAATAAACACATTGTAGTTCAGTCACATTTTGGAATACTATTCAGCAATGAAAAGGAACAAGGTGTCATAAACTCAAAAATGGGTGAACTCAAAAATACTACTGCTAAGTGAAAGAAGTCAGATGCAAAAGGCATTATGGCAGGATAAAGAACATGGTAAACCACACGCTGGCTCCTGTAACTTCTGCCTACAAGTAACAATGCTTTTGCTTCTATGTCAGCAATCAGACCCAGTCACGTAGCCATGTCCAAGGCCAATGGGGTGGGGAAAGGATAATCCTCCTGAGAGGGTCAGAGTATGTATTTGAATAATAGCGCAGTTTACCGGTTACCTGTATATAGTAACATAGAAGGAAATAAGGGTTGTAGAAAAAAAGAATCGGGCGTGCAGGGTTGGAATGCAATGATACGGAGCAGGATGTGGTGTTAGACAGTTCTCAGTTCTTCAAACCCCGAGAAGACTTGAAGGAGGTGAGGGAGTTGGCTAAGCAAAATATGAGGAAAGAGCATTTGAAGAAGATGGAACATCTAGAGCAAAGACCTTGGAGTAAGCGTGCCTGAGATGCCGGAGGAGTGGTAAGGAAGCCGGGGTGGCTGGAGTAGATTAGAAGCACGTAGTAGCTACTCCTCCTACTGGAGGTCATCACAGCAATGGGGTGGGACAAACAAAGAGGACTTTGTCATCGTTGTAAGAACTTTAGTTTTTACACTGAGTGAAATGAGCTAGTACAGGGTTCTGAGCAGAGACTTATTATCTAAGTCACCTGTTGAAAGATCACTCTGGGACGGGCGCAGTGGCTCACGCCTGTAAGCAATCCCAGCACTTCAGGAGGCCGAGGCAGGCAGATCACAAGGTCAAGAGATAGAGACCATCCTGGCCAACATGGTGAAAACCCATCTGTACTAAAACTACAGAAATTAGCTGAGTGCGGTGGCGTGCACCTGTAGTCCCAGCTACTCAGGAGACTGAGGCAGGAGAATCGCTTGAACCTGGGGGGTGGAGGTTGCAGTGAGCCAAGTTTGTGCCACTGCACTCCAGCCTGGCGACAGGTGAGACTCCATCTCAAAAACAAAACAAAACAAAACAAAACAAAAACACCTTGGGCTGTGTACGGTGGCTCACACCTGTAATCCCAACACTTTGGGAGGCCAAGGTGGGCAGATGCCTTGAGTCCAGGAGTTTGAGACCAGCCTAGCAACATGGCAAAACCCTACCTCTACAAAAACTACAAAATAAATAGCTGGGCATGCTGGTGCCTGCCTGTGGTTCCAGCTACTCCAGAGGCTGAGGTGGGAGGATCGTTTGAGACCGGGGAGGTGGAAGTTGCAGTGAGTAGAGATGGTGCCACTGCACTCCAGCCTGGGTGACAGAGGAAGACCCTGTCTAAAAAAAAAAGATAACTCTGGCTATTATATTGGGGACAAAGGGAAGAAGCAGGGAGACCAATTAGGAGGCCATTGCAAGAATCCATGCAAATGTCAACGGTGATTCAGACCAGGGTGACAGCTGTGAGGGTGGTGAGAAGTGGCCAAATTCTGGATATTTTTAAAGGTCAAGTTCATGGCATTTCATGACAAATCGAATGTGGGTGTGAGAGAAAAATAGAGACAACGATGACTGTAAGGATTTTGTTTGTTTGTTTATTTGCTTACTTGGGTAACTGAAAAAACAAAGTTGGCTTAAGGACCTGAAGACGTTTTTCAAAGAAGACACCAAAATGTCCCACAAGTACATGAAAAGATGCGGAACATCATGAACCATCAAGGAAATGCAAATCAATACCACAATGAGACAGCACCTTATACATGTCAGGATGGCTACTATAGAAGACAAGCCATGACAAGGGTTGGTAAGGATGTGGAGAAAAGTGAACACTTCTAAGCTGTTAGTGGAAACATAAACTAGTACCCCATTATGGAAAACAATATGGAGCTGCTTCCTCCAAAAATTACAAATAGAACTACCATGAGATCCACCAATCCCACTTCTGATATATATCCACAGGAAACAACATCAGTATCTCAAAGAAATATCTGCACTCCCGTGTCCATGGCAGCACTATTCACAATAGCCAAGGTGTAGAATCAACCTGTCTGTCAACAGATGAATACAGAAAATGGAGTATATATACACAACAGAATAATATTCAGCCTTAAAAGAAGAAAATCCTATCATTTGACACAACATAGGTGAGCCCAGAGCACAGTATGTTCAGTGAAATAAAGAGTCAGAGAAAGAAATACTGGGTGACCTCACTCATTTGGAATCTAAAAAAGTCAAACTTAGAAGCAGAGATGAGAGGTGTGGTTGCCAGGGGCTGGGGAGTGAGAGAAATGGAGAGAGGTTGGTCAAATGGTACAAACTTTCAGATAGAAGATAAGTTCTGGAAATCTACTGTACAGCATGGTGTCTATGGTTACTGATTATTATATACTTGAGATTTGCTAAGAGAGAGCAGATCTTAAATGTTCTCACCACACACAGACACACACAGAAGGTAATTGTACACCAAAAAGTGTCTGAGACAGGCCTTGATCAATTTAGAGGTTCATGTTGCCAAGGTTGAGGATGCACTGGGAAAAAGAAACACAAGTTCCCATACAATCTGTGGCCCATGTATTTTCCAAAGAGGGTTTTGAAGACTTCAATATTTAAAGGGGAAAGAGCAGCAGGAGGGGAAAAAGGAAAGAAAAGAGTGGGTAGGTAGCCAGATAAGTGGTTATATTCTTGTGAAACTTTCATTAGTGCTTACTGAATTCACATGTTACATGTGAGAGGAGGGTATAGAGGAACAGTCAATTACACATTCTTGTCACGCTCAGTAAATCTGCATTTTACATAAGATAAAAATAGAGTAGAGAAAGAAGTCAAATATGCATTTGTTTTGGGGTGGGCAGAGGGATGATTTCTAGTCTTGTCTTTGTTCCACACCCGTGAAGATAAGCTGTTAGTTATCTTACATTGTCAGGGTGATCTGGTTTGGCTGTGTCCCCATCCTAATCTCATCTTGAATTCCCACACGTTGTGGGAGGGACCTGGTGGAAGGTGATTGAATCATGGGGGCAAGACTTTCCCATGCTATTCTCTTGACAGTGAATAAGTCTCACGAGATCTGATGGTTTTAAAAAGAGGATTTCCCCTGCACAAATTTTCTCTTTGCCTGCTGCCATCCATGTAAGATGTGACTTGTTCCTCCTTGCCTTCGCCATGATTGTGAGGCTTCCCCAGCCACGTGGAACTGTAAGTCCAATTAAACCACTTTCTTTTGTAAATTGCCCAGTCTCGGGTGTGTCTTTATCAGCAGCATGAAAATGAACTAATACACAGGGTGAGGGAAGCCACCTGGAGAGGTATGTGGCCTTCTATCCTGCAGCTGTGAGTCTAGGAACAAAAGGAAAGCAGGTTTTGTTTTTTGTTGTCATTGTTGTTTTTTGCATGACTCAGCTCCCAAACTTAACTTTTCCCTTTGCCATAGGGGGTTTGAGGTCCCAGAGATTTTATTTTCCTTTCACATAACCACAGAAGGCAAGGGACATCTTAACTCACTTGATTATGGTAATCATTTCACAATATATAAACATATCAAATCATCATTGTACCCCTAAAATTTATATAATTGTATTTGTCAGTTATAGCTCAATAAAGCTGGGGGAGAATAGATTTATCAAAAACACATAAAAAAAAAAAAGAATGGCATTGCTGTAACTGAGGTGGGGAAGGCTGCAGGTAGAGTGGGCTTGGTGTAAGATGGGAGATCAGGGGTTGAATTTAGAACATGGTAAGCCTGAAACATCTGTGGGATACACAGGCAGATTCCCAGTGCACCCTGGATGAAGTCGGTCTCAACTCAGGTTCTCCCGTGTCACAGAATGTCCCCTGGAGCCACAGTCAACAGATCCAGGTGGTAACGCCGGCCTTACCACAAAGAAGCTCTGACTGTGGGGAGGTCACTAGTACACTCCATCTCTCCTCATCTGTGTGGTGGGTCAGTAAAACATGCCAACAGAGTTATTCTGAGCATTCTGTGACATAAGTATATGGCAGCGCTTTGCCAGTTAAAACATAGGATAGAAAATGGCCTGGCTGCTGCTGCTGCGGTTCACGGTAATGGTCTCATCCTCTTAGTCAGCCGGCTGCTTTGGGATGAAACACAACAAAAAGCCGATCAGATTTTCCTAGAGTCTCATGATCCCAGGTATCCAGAAACACAATTTGGAAACACTGAAGTTATTTTTCTTCCTTCGATGTGCTAGTTTTTCATTCTAGCCTACTCCACTCTGGGCAAATCCCTGTAGAATTCCTTGAGCAACATGAGCTCTTTCGCTGACTCAGATAAAATTGGACAGTATGTAATGTCCTGTGACCCTTGCCTGGAAGCGATCCCAGCTGGCTGCCAGGGTTGAGTCCGAGACCCTTACGACCAGGCTGACCCTGAGGCCTGGAGACTGCCGAGATCCCTGTTCAATGTCTGGAGAGCAGCGGGCGCAGCTGGTAGCCGGACCCTGCGTGGTTTGGAGCAGCGGGACACTCACTTTGAGACAGACAAACCTAGAAGTGAGCAACCACTTTCCACTTCACTATGTGGCGCATGATGGGTGTTCAGCAACAAATATCAGCCTCCTGTCTTCCCCTGGCACCGCCCCTGGCTTCGGTGAGTGGTCTGTTTCTGCCAACCGTCTCTGATTTTGGAGTCACGGGAATAGAGTACGGAGCCGCACGTGATTCCCTTCCAGATGTCAGTCCCAACACACCCCAAACGCCTTTTCATTTCTCTCACAAAACATTATGACTCTGTCATGCGTGGATTGCCTGGGTTCTTTTTTCAAGCAATTCAGCAGGATGACATAGAGCCTCTTGGTGAGGGGATGCCCATACATTTCCTATTGAAGCACAAAATAATTCTGCCCACTGTTTTATTTAAAAACCACCTAACTCAAGGCTCCAGGGATTTCCTTTCCTCCTGGTAGCCTGGGGTTTGGTGAACTCATCAGGCTCCCCGCACTTTGGGGTGTATTCTTCCTCGGTTTCCCCAGATGTGCAGCCAACAGTTGTAACTAGACAGGTGCAGACATGGCGTGTATATTGATATTGACATTTCTAGCAGGTTATCGCAGGTGTTTGTAAGACAGCCTTAGTTATAAGCTTCTCATTATGATCTTAGAGTCTAAGATAAAAAATATTTTCACGTATTTTTTTGCTTTCTCCAAATCCAGTGAGGGTGAATCATGGCTACTTAGAGAATCCAAAGTTGAAAATCGAGATAAATAATGCAGTTTTGGCCAGGCATGGTGGCTCACGCCTGTAATCTCAGCGCTTTGGGAGGCCGAGGAGGGTGGATCACCTGAGGTCAGGAGTTTGAGGCTAGCATGGGCAACATGGTGAGACCCAGTTTCTACCAAAACTATGAACAATTAGCTGGGTGTGGTGGTGCACGCCTGTAATCTCAGCTACTTGGGAGGCTGAGGTGAGAGAATCACCTAAGTGAGCCCAGGGAAGTCAAGACTGCAGTGAGCCATGTTCACACCACGGCACTCCTGTCTGGGTGATGGGAGTGAGACCCTGTCTCAAAAAAAAAAAAAAATGCAGTTTAGGCAACATTTTGTCCTAATGAAGCCCTTGCATCATCATTATCCTTATAACACACACTTTTTTTTTTTTTTTTTGAGACGGAGTCTCACTCTGTCACCTAGGCTGGAGTGCAGTGGCGCAATCTCAGCTCACTGCAAGCTGCGCCTCCCGGGTTCACGCCATTCTCCTGCCTCAGCCTCCCGAGTAGCTGGGACTACAGGCGCCCGCCACCACACCCAGCTAATTTTTTGTATTTTTAGTAGAGACGGGGTTTCACCATTCACAAGATGGTCTCAATCTCCTGACCTCGTGATCCGCCCACATCGGCCTCCCAAAGTGCTGGGATTACAGGCGTGAGCCACCACGCCCGGCCAACACACACTTATAACATAAAATGTAAAAGGGGAAAAATGCCTTCTTTTTGCCTATTTTATTAAGGATGTAATAACCCTAATGGCCTTTCATGAAGAGCATTTTCTCCAAATGCATTGCACTGGGACACTCCCGAGGGACTCTGGAATGGATTTACTGCTTTCTCCGAAAACCAGGACATGGCCTATTTCATATAATATTGTTTGATTCAAACACATAATAATAAAAAATAATAATTTTCAGTGCTAAAAGTCAGCAACCCTGATGTGCGGTTTTGCCCCCTGAGTGACAGGAACAACACACGGATTTGTCTTCTCTTGTGTGACTGAAGAAGGGCAGAGCAGTAGGTTTTCGTTTCACACAACCCAGGAGATTGCCATTTTCTCAGGATCACCTGATGGCACAAAACTTAGGCCCTGGCTCATACCCTTCGTCCATCTCTTACTCTAGCTATTGCTAGAGCAAGCAGCTTCGAGCAGATGAAACCTCCCAGCACCTCCCCTCTGCTGCAGCATATCTCTTGCATTTTGACACCACAGCATGGAACACCTGCCACAATCGGCCCAGCACTCACACAAGCATCATCCCAACGCACAAGAGAATTCATGCCCCAAGAACACCCCTTGGAGAATCGGAGCTGGAAATTGATGAATAAAGGTTCCCTCCCTCTTTCAGGCGCACAGGCCGTCCATTCTGAAGTCACTCCGTGGCTCATTAGGAGCCCCTGCGCAGTCATGCCTCAGCTGCCTCCAGGAGTGAACAAGCTGAGATTGCACTCCCATTTGCCTTCCTTCCTTCCCTGTGTCACTCTTCCCAATCCCTCTATCTTGTTTTCTGGGAACACTTTCCCAAATTAGAAAATTCTGGAGGCCAATTAAGGCAATAAGCCAGGGAAATATGTTATGTAACCGTGTGATGAACTCACAAGAGATACTTGGGGACTTGGAGAAGTCCATTCCCTGTATCTAGGCGAGACCACAGCTAAGTCATTGACCAAAGGAACTTTGTATTAAAACAAACAAACAAACAAACAAAAAACTTAGAAAAATGGAATTCCAAAATCACCATTAGTAATTCTATTAGGTATTCAGATATTCATTGACTATAAATGTTCCTGAATGCAAAGCAGGAGATACAGAGGTCTGAATGTTGGATGTAAGAACTCGTGTATGTAATTGCATGAGCCAAAGAACAAGCTTAATGGATCTGGGTTCTGTGATTTTGCTCTTTTCGGAAGTGCTAGCTCAGTTTCAGAAAAGAAGTTCAGCGTCATTTTTTTCTTTTTACATTTATCTCCACCAAGTTTATGAGAAGTTGATCCAATGATTTACTCTCCTTGATCAGAAATACCAGAAATTCACTCTCAATTTCAGTCCTTTAACTGATTGGCATTCTTTAAACATAATGAACGGGAAAAGGAAATATATCTTAAAACAGTTTTTAAAAATGTGAAACAATTCAGGCATACAAAAGACACAGAAAATGATAAATTGTGTGGTATACCACCAAGATAAAACAGCTGTTAATATTTTATCTTATTTGCTTCAAACCCATCTTTTCAGTAAACATGCTATTTACTTAATAAACAAAATATTACAGTCCAGCTACTGCCTCACCCAGTGTGCATCATCCTCTCTTTCCCTCCATCCCTGGATATAACTCTATTCAAAATTCGTGTGTATGGGCTGGGCACAGTGGCTCACATCTGTAATCCCAGCACTTTAGGAGGTCAAGGCAGGTGGATCACTTGAGGTCAGGAGATCGAGACCAGCATGGCCAACATGGTGAAACTCCATCTCTACTAAAAATAAAAAATTAGCTGGGCATGGTGGCGAGTGCGTCTAATCCCAGCTACTCGAGATGCTAAGGCAGGAGAATCGTTTGAACATGGGAGGCAGAGGTTGCAGTGAGCCGAGATTGTGCCACTGCACTCCAGCCTGGGCAACAGGGCGAGACTCCATCTCAAAAAAAAAAAAAAATTAGTGTATATCATCCCCACATCTGCTTTCTTACTTCTTCTACATAAATATACATCCATAAACAATATAAATTAGTCCTCTGCATTCTAGTTTTTGTTGCTGTTAAGAAGTCTAGTTGAAGTTCTTGGTAAATAACCTTTCAATCACCTGACTTAATACTGTAAACAGAGAAGCAGATTTTTATTAATGTCTCATCAAAAGTAAGTTTTTCACCAGGAATATGCTTGTGAATGCAACATAAACATTTATAAATGTACCATTCATCAGTTTTCTTTCCTGATGGGAATAGTGAAAGAAAATAGAATTCATCAGAACTCCTGTGCCTCTTTGGCACAAACTTATAGCAATACGATAAATAGCAAGTACACCTATGTGTGAAGTCTTACCATAAAAAACAAACTTGATCAACTGCGCCGGAGGAAAGACTGAGTATCTTTCTCTTCTCTCCATGGAAAATGATATTACAAAATTGTCGTCACATGTTGGGGCCAGCAAAGAGAATATAGCCAGATGATACAGGAAATGACATTTCTCAAAAGAAGACATACAAATGGCCAATAGGTATATGAAAAAAAAAAAGTTCAACATCACTAATCAAAGAAATGCAAAGTAAAACCACAATAATATATCACCACATACCTGTTAGAATGGCTATTATCAAAAAGACGAAAGATAGCAAGTGTTGGAGAGGATGTGGAGATGATTTATATTTATAAGTTTGTATAGTTATTTATATTTCAATACTATTGCTGGAAATATAAATGACTACAGCCCTTATGCAAAACAGTATGGGGATACTTTGAAAAATTCAAAATAGAACTGCCATGCTACAGTAATCCCACTACTGGGTATCTATCCAAAGGAAGTGAAATCAGTACGTTGAAGAGACATCTGCACTCCCATGTTCATTGCAGCACTATTCACAATAGCCAAGATATGGAAGCATCCTAAGTGTCCAGCAGCAGATGAGTGGATAAAGACAATGTGGGATGTACGGCATATATACACAGTGGAATGCTATTCATCCTTAAAAAAAGGAAATTCCGTCATTTGTGACAACATGGATGAACCTGGAGGATATTATGCTAAGTCAGATAAGCCAAGCACAAAAAGACAAATACTGCATGATCTCATTTATGTGTTGTAACCAAACCCAGGTTCAGGTACTCACCAAAAGTCAAACATGAGATACAAGAGTTGGTGGGACAGGCCGGGTGTGGTGGCTCACGCCTGTAATCCCAGCACTTTGGGAGGCTGAGGCAGGTGGATCACTTGAGGTCAGGAGTTCGAGACCAGCCTGACCAACATGATGAAACCCCGTCTCTACTAAAAATACAAAATTAGTCAGGCGTGGTTGCACGTGCCTGTAATCCCAGATGCTTGGGGGGCTGAGGCAGAAGAATTGCTTGAACCTGGGAGGTGGAGGTTGCAGCAAGCCAAGAGATCAGATCTTGCCATTGCACTCCAGCCTGGGCAACAACAAGAGCTAAACTCCATCTCGAAAAAAAAAAGTGTTGGTGGGACAAAAGCCAGGTTTGTTCAGAGAGCCAGTAAACCAAGAAGATAATAGCATCCTAAAGTGCCACCTTAAGTCAGGATAAATTTCAGTCTCTTTTTATGTTAAGAGCAGAAGGAAGAGGAGGGGCATGGGATCAATAGGTGACTGTTGACCACAGACATCTGGGTGCCAGTAAGGGCCCTAGAAGGTGGGGAAAGTCTTAGCTTTTGGTCAGGTCACAATGCTCCTATAAATCTTTTTATTTTTTATTTTTTATTGTTAATAGGATCTTGGTCTGTCACTCAGGTTGGAATGCAGGGGCATGATCATGGCTCACTGCAGCCTCAAGTTCCTGGGCTCAAGCATCCTCCTGCCTCAGTCCCAGTGGCCGGGACTATAGGTACACGCCACCATGTGTGGCTAATTTTTCCATTTTTTTGTAAATATGGGGTCTCACTATGTTGCCCAGACTGGTCTTGAACTCCTGGACTCAAGTGATCCTCCCACCCAAAGTGCTGGGAGTATAGGTGTGAGCCACTGTGCTCCACTCCTATAAATCTTTAACAAAATGTAGTTTACATACTTCTCCTTTAATCTCAGATGGCTGTTTTTGTGTTTTATCTCGTGCTCTAAAATTATCCTAGCCTATATGCTGGAATGGGTGAAGGCCCCTTAAACAATAATGGAGTTAGTTATGTTCTTTTGCTGTTTCACTGTTATACAATGTGAAATCTAAAAATGTCGATTGCATGGAAACAGAGAGTAGAGTGGTGGTTACCAGAGGCTGGGTGGCTGGGGAGATGTTGGTTAACGGATGCAAAATTTCAGTGAAATAGAAGAAATAAGTTCAAGAGGTCTATTGTAAAACATGGTGACTCTGGTTAATAACAATATATTGAGCTGGGCGTGGTGGCTCACACCTGTAATCCCAGCACTTTGGGAGGCTGATGCGGGCAGATCACCTGAGGTCAGGAGCTCGAGACCAACCTGTCCAACATGGCAAAACTGGGTCTCTACTGAAAAAAAAAAATACGAAAATTATCCAGGCATGATGGCACGTGTCTGTAATCCCAGTTACTTGGGAGGCCGAGGCAAGAGAATCGCTTGAACTTGGGAAGTGGAGGTTGTATTGAGCAGAGATCGGGCCATTACACTCCAGACTGGGTGACAGAGTAAGACTGCGTCTCAAAAAAAAAAAAAAAAAAAAAAAAAAAAAAAAAAAAAAAGCCAACATAATTGTATTCTTAAAAATTGCTAAGAGTAGATTTTAAATGTTTGAACTACAAAAACATGAAAAGTATGTGAGGTAAGGCATATGTTAATTAGCTCAATTTAATAACCATTCTACAATATACACATATTTCAAAACAACATGTTGCCAACAATATACAGAATTTTGTCAATTGAAAATAAAATTTTTTAAATCCAGGAAAAATTGTAGAGATTTATTTTTCCTGGATTTGGTGATCTTGTGGCTTTTCTCCCCCCAGCTTTTTGAAACTTTTGGTTTGTTGTGACTTCTAGTCTCTAAATATTCACTTTACTGCCAAATTTTGTATTCATACTTTTGTATTCTTTGTCTTTTAAATGGCTTCCTAAATGGTATACATCATCAGGCCCTCAAAATGTGCTCCACCTGCTTTGAACCACAAAACCCCTGGGGACCCTAATCCAAACAGCTTCCACCCTCCCCAGCACTCTCTCGCTTGCTGTGCAGGCTTTCTGTGAATGCTCCAGGCACGCAAAGGAAGGAAGCCAAATGCTCCAAGCTGCTCGATGTCTGACTCCTGGAGCCGCAGCTCCCATGACTTTGTAAAGGGCATGCACCCTGCAGGGCATGTGCCCCAAGCACCAGGGGTTCCTCCTACTCTCTTTGCTTTCGAAAATGAGGCAGCAGGAAGTGATGGAGAGCGCTGTGGTCATCAAATGTGGATGAAGTTAAAATTTGTTAACCAAATGCAAACACTTCGGGGAGTGAAAGTGGGGCACTATTCATTTTTTTTTAAAGTCAGGCTCTCACTCTTGCCTCAGCTGGAATGTAATGATGTGATCAGGGCTCATTGCAGACTGGACCTCCCAGCTCAGGTGATTCTCCCACTTCAGCCTCCTAAGTAGCTGGGACTACAAGTGTGTAACAACATACCCAGCTAATTTTTTTGTATTTTTTGTAGACACGGGTTTTCACCATGTTGCCCAGGCTAGTCTCAAACTCCTAGACTCAAGTGATCTGGATGCCTAGACCCCCCGCAAAATGTTGGTGTTAGTGGTGTGAGCCACCTTGCCTGGCCTCCATTTGCAAGATTGTCCCAAAGGAAGTGACCTTGGCTGAAACCCTGGCTCTGCTTCCTCTGGCCTTGGGGCGAGAAGTAAATAACCAAATCTGCCTGGGCTTGTTTCCTCACCCCAGAAAATGGCAGTAAGAGCTGCCTCACAGACCAGGTACGGTGGTGCACGTCTGTAATCCCAGCAATTTGGGAGGCCAAGGCATGAGGATTGCTTGAGCTCCAGAGTTTGAGACCAGCCTGGGCAACATAGTGAGACCCCACCTCTACAAAAATCAAATTAGATGGGCATGGTGTTTTATGCCTGTAGTCCCAGCTGCTTGGTAGCTGAGGTGAGAGGATTATTTGAGCCCAGGAAGGTGGAGGCTACAGTGAGCTATGATCACCCCACTGCACTCCAGCCTGGGTGGCAGAGCCAGATCCTGCCTCTGAAGAAAAAGAAAAAAAGAAAAAAGAAAAAGAACTACATCAGTATTTTGTTAAAGGTTAAGGTTAGATTACCTAGATATAGGCTCTGTTTCTCTCCACATATATCTGTATATCTATCTATACACACACGTATATATTTAGAGTTATGTATATATATGCAGAGAGAGGTATAGCTATAGATAGATCTATATAAATATATATAAACAGCTATCTCTCTTTACATATGCATATATATATTTATGTATCAATCCACAATACAGAAACTTGGATATGCACAAAATATCACATTTTCTCTAAACCAGCTGAATTTTTATTTCAAACTCCCCTTCACAGCAGACTGGGAAGATGCTTGAATTCAATCTTTTCGAGGTATCCCACTGCCCCCTCCGAGATATGCTACAAACTCCCACACGGTGTCAAGCTCTGCACAGGAGTTACCTTGGAGAGCCTGTTGTCCCGGGAGCCTGACCCGTGAGTCCTAGGGGTCCCTGCTGCTTCCATGTGGACATCAGGCCAAGGGGCCTCTTTCCCAGGCTGCCCGCAGCCCCAGCTGCCCAGGCACACTCTGCTGCAGCTTTTTCTCGGGACGTTGTCTCCCCAGTGGCTCTGCGGTGACCTCTCTGGGGACCTAGGATCCTCATTTTTTAGTGTGGAAGTAATCCTTTCTTCACATCCAGCTAAGACATTCTATCAAAGCATGAGAATCTGCTTCCTTTTCATTTCTCTTAAAAAAATCATATACATTCTAGGCTGGGCGCGGTGGCTCATGCCTGTAATCCCAGCACTTTGGGAGGCTAAGGCAGGCAGATCACGAGGTCAGGAGATCGAGACCATGCTGGCCAACATGGTGAAACTCCGTGTCTACTAAAATACAAAAAATTAGCCAGGTGTGGTGGTGCACGCCTGTAGTCCCAGCTACTTGGGAGACTGAGGCAAGGGAATCGCTTGAACCCTGGAGGCAGAGGTTGCAGTGAGCCGAGACCACACCACTGCACTCCAGTCTGGCGACAGAGTGAGACTCCATCTCAAAAAAACTCATATACATTCTACTAAGCGCGTTGGTCCTGAAAATCTCAAAACCAGAGTGAACTGCAGTGGGTTTTGCTTTCTACCCTGCCACATCTCTCCCCGCAATGCATGAGCAATTGGGTTAGCCAAAGGGAGAAACATGGGGAAAACAAACTTTCACAATACTGCACTGGCCACACGGCACCTGCCATAACGAAGGGGTTCGGTAAGTGCTTGGCCCTTTTCCTGGAAATGATACCATAATCACCAGGATATACTGATCCAGCCTGAATCACTGGCAGCCTTTACGTGGGCAGAAGTGAAATGAGCAAAACATTATGGTGAAGCAATAGGACTGAACATTTCTGGGAGAAGCAGCTGAAAGAAGAAAAACTTCTGGACGAAAGAGTAAACACCTGGGGAGTCACTCATTAAGCAGAACAGGAAGAGAGGCAGAATTACTGACAAAGAGCTAACAAAACATTTTTTCCAGAAATCTGGGGGAAGACAGCGAAGAGAACAATAGCTGAAGTCCACAGAACAGCCACTAATACAGCAAGAAGATACCTTAGAGCTCAACTACTCAACATCGCCTCCACCCCATTTTACAAATACTGAGGCTACAGCTGAAAGCACTTGCACAAAACCAATAACACATTAAGTTTAGCTGCAAGATTCCTAACCACCAATTAGCTTTTTACTATAATTACAATATGTTGTCTTTTTATGACTGAAAGTAAAGAGGATTGAAGAAGTCAGTTGGACCAGGGTTCAGATTTCGACTCTCTCCCTTACTTTGTAACCTAGAGTATTTTATTTGGCTCTAGCCTCTACTTCTTCTATAACATAGGACTAAGAATTCTTGTGTAAGAGTCTGGGTTATTGTGAAGATTAAATGAGGTACTGAAGGACCCAATACAGTGTCAGCACATTGTAGCTGCTTGTTTGAGTGGCGATAGTAATACTCTTTCCAGTTCTTCCAGTATGATTCATTTTGATAAACTAAAACTCTTCATGAGAAATATCCCATTTGCTTTTTTAAAAAAAAAACGAACACATATAGCCAAGATTTTATTTAACTCATTAATTAATGAGGGAACCAATAGCATGTTAAAACCAATACAAAGGAAAATCTAGAGGACATGCAGGCAAGAAGGAATGCAAATAAATGCAAAACTGGCCACTTTCATGGCACCGTAACCGGTTGCGTCTTCACCTGACATGTATCCATTCTCACAGTGTTATAAAGAAATACCTGAGACTGGGTAATTTTTAAGAAAAGAGGCTTAATTGACTCACAGTTCTGCATGGCTGGGGAAACCTCAGGAAACTTACAACCATGGCAGAAGGCACCTCTTCACAGGGTGACAGGAGAGCGAGAATGAGTGCAAGCACGGGGAATTGCCAGACTCTTATAAAACCATCCGATCTCGTGAGACTCACCCACTACCACGAAACAGCTTAGGGGAACCGCCCCCATGATCCGATGACCTCCACCTGGTCCTGCCCTTGACACGTGGGGGTAATGGGGATTACAATTCAAAGTGAGATTTGGGTGGGGACACAGAGCTAAACCATATCAAGATGCATCATTCATTATTTTCTTTTTTTGTTAACAATTTTATTGAGAGATAATTCACATACCTGTTATAAATATATAGGCAATAATTTACCTGTTGTAATTGTACAATTCATTGGTTTTTTTTGTTTTATTGAGATGGAGTCTCGCTCTGTCGCCCAGGCTGGAGTGCAGTGGTGCGATCTCGGTTCACTGCAACCTCTGCCTCCTGGGTTCAAGGGATTCTCCTGCCTCAGCCTCCTGAGTAGCTGGGATTACAAGCGAGTGCCACCACGCCTGGCTAATTTTTGCATTTTTAGTAGAGACGGAGTTTCACCATATTGGTCAGGCTGGTCTTAAACTCCTGACCTTGTGATCTGCTCGCCTTGGCCTCCCATAGTGCTGGGATTACCGGCGTGAGCCACCGCGCCCGGCCAATTCAATGGTTTTTAATGTATTTACAAAGCAGTGCAACCATCACCACAATCAATTTTGAATCTTTTCATGATGCCAAAAAAAACTCTGTGTCTTTTAACCGTAACTCTTAACCTCCCACTTCTACCCCCCATGCCCAGCCATAGTCAGCCCTAGTCTGTTTCCTGTTTCTACAGATTTTCCCTCATAGACATTACATATAAATGGAATCATACAATCTGTAGTCTTTTGTGGCTGGCTTCTTTCACTTGACGTACTGTTTTCAAGGTTCGTTCTTGTTGGATCATGTATCAGTGCTTCATTTCTTTTTATATTTGAGTAATATTCCACTGTGTGGCTCATTTTAAAATACTGACTGTGCATTTAGTGTGCTTTCATGAGAAGCAAAATATGGAGACCTCTGAGATCTAATAGGTTAGAGCTTTCAGTTTCTCTCCAACAGAGCAGATTCCTGATACAAATATCAGTTTCTGCATCCAAGCCATGAGGCTCAGTACTTTTGTCTTCCGGCTCTTTTTTTGAAATTTATATTTGCTTTCATACAGCTTAGCACAACCTGGCTAAAAGTAAATCCCACTCAGGCCATTGGCCAGTTTTCCATGGTGGCAAGCACAGTGGACTCTTCTGGAACTGCATGTCTGGAAAAACAACATAAAACAAAGGAGTCTCTAGAGAACATCAGCCAAATATTATAATTTGATACGGTGACCTGAGGTCTGATCTGGGGGCATGTACTTAGAAATATCAAAAGAAAGTAGGCAGCTTCACCTCCTCTTACCCTCCCAGCTGTTCTCAGAAAGCTGTGGATGAGTTAAGTTTGCCTCCCCACCTTCCCGCTCACCCGTCGTCTGCCCTTTTACCTGCTAGCACTTGGTGTCCTTCAGGGTTGTTGCCACTCCTTCCAATGAGGGAACATCTGACCAAACTACTGAATTACTAAGAAATTGCTGATTCTGCAGGAACTTTATATTTCCAGAGAGGAGGCCAAGGAAAGGCCCATGTGATTTGTAGACAGAATCTGTAATAGTGGGGGCTCCCTGAAGCCTTTTCCTTCAAACTAAGTACATAATCTTCTTTTTCTTTTTTTTTTTTTGGAGACAGAGACTCACTGTATTGCCCAGCCCAGGCTGGAGTCCAGTGGCATGATTTCGGCTCACCACAACCGCTGCCTCCAGGTTCAAGTGATTCTCCTGCCTCAGGCTCCTGAGTAGCTGGAATTACAGGCACCCACCATCACGCCCTGCTAATTTTTGTATTTTTAGTAGACATGGGGTTTTACCATGTTGGCCAGGCTGGTCTCGAACTCCAGACCTCAAGTGATCCACCCGCCTCAGCCTCCCAAAGTGCTGGGATTACAGGTGTGAGCCACTGTGCCCAGCCCCAAGTGCATAATCTTAGTTCAGACACAACTGAGATCAGAATTCTGCCTGCTCCTTTTATTTAATTAATTAATTAATTAATTTGAGACAGAGTCTCGCTCTGTCGCCCAGGCTGGAGTGCAGTGGCGCGATCTCAGCTCACTGCAAGCTCTGCCTCCCAGGTTCACGCCATTCTCCTGCCTCAGCCTCCCGAGTAGCTGGGAGCACAGGTGCCCGCCACCACGCCCGGCTACTTTTTTGTATTTTTAGTAGAGACGGGGTTTCACCATGTTAGCCAGGATGGTCTCCATCTCCTGACCTCGTGATCCACCCGCCTTGGCCTCCCAAAGTGTTGGGATTACAGGCGTGAGCCACCATGCTCGGCCTGCTTGCTCCTTTTAATCCATCTATCCATCCATCCATCCATCCATCCATCCATCCATCCATCCATCCATCCAATAAACATTTATTCAATACCAGTTTGGTCAGTCTTTAAGCCTAGTGCTAGGTAGAAGGGAGCAATTTGGGCTGAAAACTTTTTCACAAATTGTGTTAAAATTATGTATTTGCCTCTTGTGGTAGGGTTTGAACTTCCTCTTCGTTAAGGACAAGGACTATATTCATTCCTGTGAATATATAGATGATGATTACCTAATATGCTTGATCATAGAGATACTTAAATAAATGACCGCATATATGTTCAGCAGTCAGCCTAGTGCTCATCTGTTGGTGGTGTGGATGAGGAACCAGGGATCTCTCCAAGTGGTAATAGTAGACTACGGAACCCAAGCTGACCACAGTCTGTTAGCACACTTTATTACACCTGCTGGAGCTAAATGAAAAGGAATACAGTTCAATGATGGCCCTTCACAATGACCATTGCTTGCTTTTGTCCTGTGAAAGTCAACTTCTTCCCTCTGAAAGCTGCTTGATTCCTAAATTGACCCTGGAGAGGAAAGCAGTAGCTCTGGAAAAGTCACAGTGACACTTCCTAGTAATAGGATGCTTTGGAGAGCTAAGAATCAGTACAGCAATGCAGGAGAAAGAGGTGACATGTTCCCCAAAAAGCAGTTTGAGGAAGTAATTATGTGCATCAAAGTTACAGAGAACTATCCATGCCATTTTAACATGGATCAACTTTATTTAGAAATAGTTTACATATGATAAAAAGAATCATTTTAAATGTACCTGGTGAGTTTCATGACATGTACTCACTCCTGTGAATAGCTGCCGCCATGCCCAAAAAACTCGCTTGTGATTTTGTTGTAGGCAATTTCCTCTCACCTCCCACCCTACTAGCACTGATCTGTTCTCAGTCACTATCAGTGTTTTGTCCTTTCTAGAATTTCACATAAATTGACTCATAAAGCATGCCCTTTTTTGGGTCGGTTGCTTTAGCTCAGCACGTTTTTGAAATCGGCCCATGTTACTGTGTGTGTCAGTAGCATGTTCGTTTCTATTGCTGAACGGAATCTCATTTTATGAATGTTTCACTATTTGTGATACATCCTATTTGTGATCCACTCACTTGTTGGTGAACATTGGAATGTTCCCAGTTACCAGCTATAACAAATATGGCTTCTATAAGCATTGTGTACAGGTGTTTTTGTGGACATATGATTTTATTTCACTTGGGTAAAATACCTAGGAGTGGAATGGCTGGGTTGTGTGGTAGGTGTACATTAATAAGGAATTTCTAGTTTTCCAAAGTGGTTGTACCATTTTTTTCTTTGTGCCTTTTTGAAAATGCTGTTCATATTATGAAGTCTTATAGGGCAATTAAAATTTAGGGTAAATTGATTTTTTTTTTTCTCTCGAAGGGAAGACTCTGGGCTATAAACATAGACAGACTGGTAACAGGAAGCAGACGTGGCAAAGTTCACAGATCCTCCATATGCTGGACATGATGGTCTTTGCCAAACAGCTGAAAGTCTTGGCCATGAAATGCTGCTTTTCATCACCGAGTAGACACTATGGAAAAGCAAGTGAGAAGCCAGAGCTCCAGAGACTTGGGTGCAAACATTACCACGGAAATAGCACAGAGACTTTGTGTGTTTATTTCGTTTCAAATTTGATGGAAATTTTTCTCATTCAAGAAAAATCCAACTGTCACTACCCTTGCTCATTATTGCAAATTGGCATAGGAGCCCCCTACACTTTTTATTGTTTTATCTCTAAGTGTCAGGTTAAGACCATGCTGCTTTCTGCCTTGCTACACTCCAGCCACTGTTTGTCCTGAGAAATTTCCATGGTCATGCTCTGTTAGTCCAAGGGGTGGTTTTTTACTCCATTTTATTTGGCCTTGCTCAGAGACAAGTGTTGTAACAAATACCTTGGGAGGCAGCTCACTGGTCACGTAGCTCTGATGTGGAGTCACCAGAGTTTCTATTGGCAGCCCTGGGTTTCACCTCTTTAAAACAAGTGGAGAGTACAGTCAGCTCATAAACCGACGTGGTTCTTCATAGCATTCTTCCTGAAGCACCCAACATCCAGCTTTCAAGGAGACAGTTCATTATCTCTTTCAAAGAATCTGTTTCACATAACAAAGACATTCTTAGCATTTGGTCATTGCTTGTCATCAGTAGAGAAGCTTACTAGGAGAAATGTCAGGATCCCCAGCTCTAGAAGTTCTACTCAAAAGCAGAGGAAGGGCCTGGTGACCTCTTCGGGTCTGTGGTCACGAGACAAAGCTGTAAAGGGTGAATACAAGTCACTTGGTTTGTCTAGGCTCTACCAGTTGTTTGCTGGGTGACAGCCCGTGGAGAATGGTTATAAACAGTTTGGATTTCCAAGTCAAATACGTGTTGATCAAATCCCAACTGGGCTGCTGCCTCAGTTCCTTCATCTCTAATGCAGGAGTAACAGCTTATTAATGAGGTGTGAGCATTAAAAGGGACAGTGCAGGTAAAGCATTTATTATACTGCCTAGAAAAAACAGCCCCTCACTCCTTGTTATATTTGTTTCAATTACTCTAAATATGACGTTGCTGAACTAGTGTTGAGCATTTCTAGAGCTAATGTACTATGCTTCAAAATTTAAATAATTTTTCATCCTTCAGTTCAAGGTTAGACCTCACAGTAGCAGTAGTAAGTTATAGTGGTCATAATAACTCTAAAATATTTTAATTAACAAAATCTACAAAATGTTTGTTGTACATTGCAGGATGCACAAGAGTTAAAGACAACTAAATATTCAACAAGAATCTGTTCCAGGTGGTGAGGTGTTAGAGACAGAATGTGGCTGACGGGGAACTTTTCCTTATGGTCAAGATTCAGGAAAAGCAGCAACAAACGTAATAGTGAAATAGCAAAAGAATGAACATAACCAATTCCATTTCCATTTAAGAGGCTTTGAGCCATTTCTGTACGTAGGCTAGGATGCTTTTAGAGCACTGGGGTAAAACACAAAAACAGCAACCATGTAGTTTTTGAAACTAACTGTGATGAAAGCATGTAAACAACTGTGTCGTGTTAAAGACTTACAGGAAGAAGCAGGCTTGACTACTGTCACATGAGAGACCATCACTCAAAGACAAAGACGCTTCATAAACCTCCCCCAAACCCTTGCTGGCAGCCAGATGCCTGTGGTTGTTGGCTCCCTGCCTGTCCCCCTTACCTAAACATAGAAGACAAAAAAAAAAAAAAAAAAAAGGCTGCATTTGTCTCCTACGTGTAGAGATCCCATTCTACCTCACCTTAGAGTGAATTGTTTACACAGCCATCTCCCAATAGACTGTTTCTTGAAAGTAAGTACGTACATCTCAATTGATGCTGATTCAATTAAATACATTTTTATTTTGGTTTCTAAGAACTTTCTGTATTATGCAAACACAAAGGGGTTATGCAAACACAATGAAAAGGAAGATTTGAAATGACAAAGAATCAGAAAAAGCTTTTTGAAGGAGAACATTTCATAAAGTCATAGACAACTTAGACTAAAAGGGACTTGGATAATGACACTAGTGTCCTAAGTTTGCAGATGGGAGGACGGAACACACTGATAGCTAGGAGGGAGCGGGTCTGGATCTCAAACTTCCAAGTTTGGTTTCCTTTCCAAGTTAGAATCCTTTCAGGCAGAGATGTGGCAAGCAAATCCAAGGAGAGATGAAGGAGACAAAACGGCACAGATGTTTCAAAGCAAAGGGACTATCCAGGAAATGAAGATTACTTTAGTTACCAGGGAAGAAACGTGTATATGTCATGGGGGAAGGGAAGAGAAAATGCACGCATGTGGCACAGCCCTTTGTGGTGCGGTCAAGTGGAGGAAGCTTTATGAAGAGGTTGGTGGGACCTTGAAGCAGGAAGGAAGGGGAGGAAGACGCAGGGTACAGAAGGATGAAAAGCTCATGGTGGTCAAGAAACTTGTAAATGGTGGTAGATACTATAATGGGACACATAGATACGCACGTAAGAAAAGGGCCAGAACACACAAAGTCTCAAAAGGTTAAGCTGTGAAACTTATAATTTTGAATAATAATAATGAGACATTCAAGATTCTTGAGCTTGATAGGATAAAAAAAAAACAGTATAAATTGACAGTTATTGAATTTAAGATGACAAAAGTATTTTAAATTTCTACTTTATTCCCCAAATACATCACTGTCATAAAGCTTTCTGATGATCTAAAGCTGGTTAAAAATAAAGACCTTGTACATGCACATTACTTTAGGACATGAAGCTAAGTGAATTATATTGATCAGAATCTGCTAAGAAAATTTTTTTCTTTAAATAGTCAAACTAATAAGAGATTTCACAGTAACCACATATTAATAGAACTGGAGGATTCTTTCTTTTGCTAAGCCTTGGGAAATGGTTTATAATCATTTGATAAGTTGATGAAGTATTAGCAAGCAAGATGGTAAAAGAAATAAAATATACAATCATTGTATAAAGTTCCAGAAACACTTTATTTAAAAATGGAGTTGTAAATGCATAACAAAATAACATAAGTAATAAATGTAACAAAAATAAATAAGGAGGATAATGTATTCATACAAAATAAAAATAACATAGTAAAAGGCCAAATGTTTATAATTGAACCAAACTGTGTAAACACTTAAACAAGAATGTAAGCAGAGTAGATTCTAGTATTTTCCTAAACTCCTTACCTTCTACTTCCATGTGGATATAATCAGTACCCAAATATTAAATAAAAGAGGGAGCAATGCTGATTATTTTGTCCAACTTTTTCTTCAAATGGATTGACCCTGTTTTA
The DNA here is from genome assembly GCF_000001405.40 of Homo sapiens. Lineage (NCBI taxonomy): Eukaryota > Metazoa > Chordata > Mammalia > Primates > Hominidae > Homo > Homo sapiens. The sequence continues at coordinate 136,863 of NT_187519.1, forward strand.
ACATTTCGTTTATTCCTTCAAAGCATTTGTATCTTTCCATTTATGTTCTTTAAAACCTTTTTTCAGTCTTCCTTTATTAGACAGAATGGGGAATTTAGCTTTACAAGGAGAATAGTTCATTTACCTTTTTTTTTTTGTATTTAAAGAAAAATAGGAGATCCATTATAGTTTTGTTTTTACATCTCTATAAAGTTTTTTTGCATCTTTATTAATTGATCCAACAATACAGGATTTAAAAAATCCTGTAAAGTCTTGAAGTGTATAGAGTTACTTTGTTTCTTAAAACAAATATAGCACAGGATTATTGTGGAAATATTAAAGACCATTTCATAAAAGTTGCAGTTTAACCTTTATAGACTGATGGGGTCAAGGGGGAAAATCCAGGTCTACTAATAATATTTAACTGAATTAAGATACACCCCAATTATAGTGTTCTGGAAACACAAAGGTAATTACTTTTCTTTTTAAAATTATCCAAATGTGAACTTACTGGAAAGAGAAAAAACAAGTTTAAAGAAGAAATTTTTCATAGGCTTCTTGTTTAGTAGCACAGGCCAAAGGCCTTTGTCGTCGTCTTGCAGGGTCCTTATAAATGTGTAAGACAGACAGCATTTACTATTGAGTCCTACAGGGAAACACACAGAAGCAATTCATTGCTTGGGAGTGAAACTATCAACTAATCTTACGACTACTGGTTCTCCAAGTCCCCTAATGAAGAAAATTTTAACCTCATGATCATTTCAAGGGAATTTCTTTTTCAACTGTCACATATAAACTTGGTAACACAGGACCAATATACATGTTCTGAGTTTTAAAAATATACTCCACCTAAACTATCTGTCTAGTTTAATCTTTCTAGTTATCATTTAACCTAAAATGAGAGACCAAATCTTATTTCCATTAAAAAAAATGAAAAAAAGTGCCAAATTGATCTTTTTGAAAGTGGAGTAAAACACTGTGGGCTTAAAACAAATACAGTATTATCAATCTCCTATGTACAAAAAAGACGGTTAGTCCTTATTGATATATAGATATGTCCACCTACCACTCCCAGCAAATCTTAGTGCAAACATAATAGTTAATTTCCGTAAACCCCAAGACAATTTACGTATCAACAAAGTTATATAAATCACATCTATGTTGGAAAATTTTAGGACACAGAGTGACTGTTGTGAAAGGTCTGCTTTACTGTGGAGAGTACTTATGTCATTGTGTCCAATGGTAATGAGTACTAATATAAATCCTATTATTAAGAAGCAAATAGAATGGTTTAACAAATCTGTACAGATGAAGAAGTCCATTTCAGGGAGCAGCTTGGCACAGGAGACTTAGGGGTTCAGAAATGTTGGCTATTTAGTTTGCTTGTAGGTCACAGCATGGCTTAAAAAAAAGAAAAAAGATCTATGAAGGGAAAGGGTGTAATCATTAAATTCAATTTGAAAATCATAAAACCACAAAAGGCGACACTGCCACAATCTGCTTTTTCCTATTTGTGCATCAAGTGGTTATCTAAATAGTTTGAAAGGATTGATATACTACATTATACGTCAAAAATAAATAAATAAAATTAAGAAGACAGGGATTCCAAGATTGTAGCTGACCAAGCTGTCTTGTTTTGCGTACATCAACACTATGCTGCTTCCAATATTCCTAGCCATTCCACAGGTAATGATTTTTCAACAATCAAGAGAAAGTCATTCTTGTACTGTAACATCTTCCTCTTCCCCATCGGGGTTGAATCTATTGAAATGTATACTGAAATCAGCCTCAGATTCAGCATTCTCAAATTCAGCTGCGGCTGAAACAGCAGCAGGATGAAGAGCCCTAGCTTCTGGTTGGCCAAGTGTTGGTGTCTGACCCGGGCTGTGGTGGTTATTCACAGGGCTGGACTTCTGTTTCGGTGGAGATGGCAACATAGCACTGGGAAATCCCATGTTGTTCAGAGCCTCCAAAGTTCCATCAGGATCAATCATAGCATTGATTGCTAAAGGGCGGGAAAAGGAAATAATTTTAGATGCAGTTACATTCACATATAAACACTGTTCATGATTTGGATAATATTTAAACTATCAGTGCGTATGTGATCTTAAATGTGGCTAATCTTCCAATATTATATTTAAAACTCCATTCTTAGTTATTCTGTAGCTGTACTGTAAATCACCCAGCCCTGAATACTTTCTCTGGGTCCTTTGATGTGGCACTTACGGGCATTTCAGAGACTTGTAAGTCTGGTATTTGAAGATGTGGAATTCAAGAAAAATCTTGTTGAAATTTGTCTTCATTATTGTGAGAGGACCGAGAAAATACTGAATATGATTTTTAATAAACATCTAAACCCACATCACTCAGATAACTGAGGTATTAGCTGCTAAGTCAGGGTTCAGAGTAACCTCAAGGCTGGAGAGGCCAGAAGAACATCAGCATACTTTGAATGCTACCATAGAATACGGTCATTTAGCCTGGCCAGAGTGCTAGGGTTATCAGCTGTATACACCACTGAGATACAGGGGTTCCCTCAGAGCCTACAGACTAATATCACAGGGCAGCTTGCAAAGCCAAACAGACTTGCTGCCTATATGGAAGGGGTCAGTTAAAGGTCAGCTTTCAGTCCAAAAGATCTTTGGGTTGACATGGAAAGTTCTCAGGCGGTGATTTTCAATTTGGCATTGGGCAGAGTAGGGAGTTGGGAGAAGGAAGTAACATAGATGTAAGAATCATGTAGAAGGGACTTTTAAAAGTATACCCCCAGTCTACCAGCTAACAAGCACTGTGTTAGCAAGCCACTTTTACTCATGGGGTGTACCATAACCCTTAGGTGTGTTGGGGCTAAATAAAGATGAAAAATCATTTTGATAGGATCCACATAAGTACCTATGATTATTCGATAGATAAAGACTCAGTAGAATTAGCAGTTGACTATGGAACCTGCCTGTTGTACCACTGGGGACTTCTGGGTCAAGACATACATAGGCATTAATGCACAGCCCAGCTCTGACAAGTTTAGAGGGCAGCCTCTTTCACTTTCTTCTCTCCTTTCTCTTCTGGTCTCTATGGCCAATATGTACTCATTTCTTGTCAACCAAACAACTATTATTTCTATTAGAATGTAAGTTTGTTTCAGGTTACACCACCAACATAATTTAAGAACTGTCAAATCACACAAATAATGCTAATTAACACAACTTTATTATATATTTTTCACATATTATTTATATGTAATACATAAAAAATTTCAATTAGTTTATGACATCTAGCCTACTGTCAAACCTATGAACTAAAATATGCCCAACATATATCTTTATTACATTTTAAATTTTTATACTGGGTTTAAAAAAATTCCTTTTTATGAATAATGTGAATGTTTGAACTCTGTATTTTATGTATGTCATTACATTTAATCAAATAACATCCTAACAATATTTTAAGAAATACCACTCAGAAGGCACTTATTCTAAATTATTAGCTCTTTATACTTAATTCAGTAGTAAATTTACCTTGCAGCTGCTTTTCTACTCTTTTCAGTTCCTGTAAGATAGAAGAAATCTCCTGCAGGGAAAGCAATAACAAAAATTAGCCTACTTTTAGCTAAATGTTATCACTTTACAAGCAATGAATTTCACTCTCACTTTATTTGGAACACTTAATATTATCTACATGGTACTTACTACATTAATAGCAACATGATATGAAATAATTATGATATCTAGCAAACAAGATTCAAATTAAAATATTTAAACTAAAATGAAATACAATAACTTTTTCAGTGAGATGATTGTAGCAGATGAAAAGTTTAACATTTACTACTATTTAAGCAAAGATTTTTTTTTTTTGAGACCGAGTCTCACTCTGTCGCCCAGACTGGAGTGCAATGGCGCAATCTTGGCTCACTGTAACCTCCTCCTCCCAGGTTCAAGTAATTCTCTTGCCTCAGCCCCCAAAGGAGTTGGGATGATAGGCGCCCGCCACAATGCCTGGCTAATTTTTGTATTTTTAGTAAAGACAGAGTTTCGCCATATTGGCCAGGCTGGTCTTCAACTCCTGACCTCAAGTGATCCGCCCTCCTTGGCCTCACAAAGTGCTGGGATTATAGGCGTGAGCCACAGTACCCGGCCGCAAAGATTTTTAAAATTCTTATTAATCAACCTTGCAATAACTATGTAAAAATGCCTTCAAATTATCTTTGTAAAAACATATAAACTGCAACCTCAATATTATAATTATATTCTGAGCAATGAAAATCTGTACAAATTCTTTTAAAAAGAAGATAAGCATTATATTAAGTAAACGGAAACGACTTATGTCAACTTAATATTTTCATGTTAGATTTGGTTCTCTTTAAAAATTTCATGTTTCTAATGTTTAATTATTACAAGAACAATCTATACTAGTAAGAAACACAAAAGGCTCCTCCTTCATACCCTCTGCAACTTTGAAACAATCAACATTTTAAACCTGTGAGTCAGTAGAAGAAATAAAATTTCCCAAAATTTTGCATTTATATCTTCTTTTGAAAAAGCAAATCAACGAACAGCTCAAAAATAAGGGTCTTTTCCTTAAAATAAAACTCTATTAAAATGTTTTAATCTTCAAGAAAAATTACTATACCATGCTTGAGGTTTTCACAATAGGGACTTCACTTTCGGCTCTTAATTTGCTTTCTATGTCATCCCAATTCCGATCTTTGTCTTTAAATAATATTCTATAAATCAAAAAACATAAGCATATAACTTTTTATATTTTAAAAACCTATTACTTTTTTGTTAATAATACCAAAGCAATGTATCTTTTCAAAGGTACACAAAGAAAAAAAACCAACCACCGCATAAACTGAGAATTAAAATACTAAGCCAACAGTACCAATTAATTCATGTGTATGAGCTCCAATTGAATGCTTATTAATACATGCATAAATTCTTTACTGTTTATCTTATTCTTTATTGAAAACAAAATATAAAACAAATGTAAATGATGTTATGACCTCAAAACTTTAATATTTATAATTTACAATACAGTAATGCCCTCTTATCCACAGTTTCTCTTTCCATGGTTTTAGTTAGTGGCAGTCAAGCATGGTCCGTAACTATTACAGTATTTTGGGAGAGGGAGAGAGAGAGAGAGAAAAAAAAAGACCACATTCACATAACTTTTTTTTACAGTATATTGTTACAAATGTTCTATTTTATTATTAGTTACTATTGTTAATCTCTTACTGTGCCTAATTTATAAATTAAACTTTATCATAGGCATGTATGTGTAGGAAAATACACAGTATATTAGGTTTTAGAATTATCTGTGGTGTCAGGCATCCAGTGGGTATCTTGGAACAACATGTATCACCTGGGTATAAGGAGAAAAGACTGTGTAACTGTCACTTATAAAGAAAATGCAATTTTATTCAGACAGAATATATGCAGTATAGGAATAAGTGAGATGAAAATAGGTTGAATTAGGTATAAACAATTGTGTCTGTTAAGACCTCTTTATATGGGAATAAGCACCTTATCGATCAAGAAAAGTGTGTATATTATTTTGAAGACAAAAAATTGGGAGTACTTACTGTGCTTTTCTTTAACAATTGTTAATTCGTGTTAGTATACTTGCACATAATAACCTATTAGGAATTAGGATGCTACCCTTTTGATAAAAACAATTGCCAATAAAGATAATTATCCTATCATTACCCTAACATCAAATAACTTATAAAATAAAGGACCACAAAATTTTGACGTGTCTTTCAAATGTGGGACACTTTTCTAACACTTTAGAGTCTATCAGACATGATTCAGCAGTCTTAGATGTAAATACTAGCTACTTTTTTGGTTTCTTTTAAATTTTTTTCAGTAAGCCTGGAAATCTAGTTTAAACAACACTATATAACCTCATGTAAATGTATTACTACTGCAAGCTGATCAGCATTTAAGTAGTAAACTAAGTTAATATTTGTGCTGGTATTTCTTCAAAGATCAACATGCCAGACTTACCTTATTTAAAAACATGAAACTCATTAACATCACATCAAGTCTGGAACATTTGCTTAAGGTGGCAACGGGTCTAGAATCTGGTATAAGAATATTCTTATGGCCTACTTATTAAATTTTCTAAACTCAAAAAAATGAACACCCTTGCCAGCCATCTTTTCTAAATTATTATGTTCTTGTAAAAGAGTCCTTGCAGCATTAGGACTGATGGAAAATAAGGAAATAATGACTATTTCATGGACCAGCTTAGAACTGTAATGGACTTATACAATAGAGAAAGACTCTGTTTAGCCACACAGTGCTAAAAATTCAGTGAATTTTTCCAGAGGATGGCTACTGAGTATAGTGTTTGTGGATCTAAAACTGTTAAACCATAGACATTTCACCTTTGGTGAAAATGGGTTTTTCACGGGTTGCCCCTGAAAAAAAAATGCCCCCCTGAAGAAATAAATGGTTTATTTTAAAATACAGTTTGTTGGCCAGGCACAATAGCTCATGCCTGTAATCCTAGCACTTTAGGAAGCCAAGGTGGGTGGATCACTTGATGCCAGGAGATCGAGACCAGCCTGGGCAACATGGCGAGACCTCGTCTCTATAAAAAATACAAAAAAATTAGCAGGTGTGGTGCAGATGCCTGTAGTCCTAGCTACTAAGAAGGCTGAGGTGGGAGGATTGCTTGTGCCCAGGGAGGTCGAGGCTGCACTGAGTGAGTGAGTTGTGAACATGCCACTGCACTCCAGCCCATCTCAAAAACAAAAAACAAAAAACAAAAAAACAAAAAAACAAAAAACAATTTGTAATATATAATAGAACAGATCTAAGAAGTCAAACTTGTCATTTTGGCATTATGAAATAAACTTTACTATAATATTTACTATAATATTTAATATTTAAATACTAGAGAATCAGAAAACCAGACCAAGAAATTAGTTTAGACCAGGCTATAATGACCAGAACTTGTTTTTGTTTGAAGGTCCTTATCAATTTTAAGCTGAAAAAATCATAGCTTTCAAAGTGATATTCAGATTATATTATAGATTCAAAATAAGCTAAACTTCAGCATGAAAATACATAAAATTCCAAAGCTTATTTCATTCAATAATTTAAGAATTAAGTTAAAATACTTTTGATAAAGCCATTGGTTTTAGGGAAACAAACAGAAGTCTCAGGCTCCTATTCTATGAGCCATAACCAATTCCCTAGTACTAGCCCTTAAAACATGCGAACGCGGAGTTGCGAATTGAGAGTCTACCAATGCAAGGCCATGCTACACAACCTAAGGGGGTCATTTTCACATGGAATGCAATGAGAATGCTGTACAACAGGAGTTCCTGTATAAATATTTAAAAATGGATTCCACAGACAGTGTTCATACAATGTAAGTACGCATGCCTCTAGGATGAACCCCAGTAGACATTTGAGGTTATAACTCCTGACACAAAGCTTAAAGACCAGTTGATTCTCAAACTACCCTGGCACTTTCCACGCAGAAGGCCCAGGTCTCTACCCCTTAGGTTTGGTTATCACAACTCAGACCTACCTTTGAATAGTATCTTCTTCCCAAAGCCTTCCCTAAACCTCCTAGGTGAAAGTGATCCTTCCTTTGCCTTTATATCTCTAACTGAGCACTAATCTATTATACGCTATCTTGTACGACAGTTGATTGCATATGTGCCTCACCTTGCCAACTACACTGGAAACTCTTTAATAATAGAAATGGTTTTATCCTCATTACCTTCCATAAAGCCTGCCATAGTGCTTTATGCATAGTAAAACTCAACACTCGAACTGAAGGCAATTCAAATACATTAAACATTCTGTATTTATGTATAACTTTATTGAGGCATTTTTATGCATCCTTTTTTAAACTTTATAAATTCTGTCACTTTCTGAGACAACACAGGTTATCAATCCATCAGCAATGTCTTCTTTGTTCTCAATTTTAGTTCAATGTCAAAGCTACAAAAAATATTTTTCTTTGGGGGAGACTACAGAACGTAGGAAAGCTGCTCCGTGGTAAGGAAGAGAATGGTACACAGCAGGTAATCTGTGAACATCTGCTGAATAAATGAATGAGTGGTTAAGACTCCAGTTAGCAGGGACGGACCTGTATTTCAGTAGGTAGGATGAAAAAACACTGTGTACTTGTTTACAGGTAAGGAGACTCCAGGGTTTTCCAGGTGCAAGCCACATGACCATACAAGACTCTCATGATATTTTTACAGATAGCACTGGTGTATCAAGAGGACCCATATTGGATATATTAGCTTCCTATGGTTTTTAATAATAAAATCCAAACTCCTTAACAAATTCTGCCAAAACAGATCCATCCTCATCTCTCTAGTGTCATCTCTCACCATACTCTGGCCCTTTCACTTCACATAGCTTTTGAGTAACTCCTCTCCTCATCATTCAGGACTTAAATTGCATGGCAATTTCTCTAAGAGCCCTTCTCTGAATTTCCCAAGTGCCCTTGCTATGGGCTTCCATAGTAACCATCCTATATTTCCCTTAACACACTGAACTATAATTAACTGTTTACCTGCCTTCTACACTCAAATGTGAGGACATCAAAAACAGTGCTAGACAAATAACATACAGTCAAAAATCATTCAATGAATGAATGAGTCTGGAGACTTTATTCCCATATAAGATGATCTTAACCAATGTTTATTTCATTTATTTATTTCTTTGGTTAATAATCCTTCCATAATGCCCCAGCTTTAGAAAATAATTTTAGTGGAACTAAAATAAAAATGATAACAATTATATATTACATTTAACTACAATGAATGCTTGAGCCAAATCATGATATTAATAAGCAGCTGTGTGATTGAGGCCTATAGATTTGTTTATTCATGTGTAAAAACTAGTAAGTTAAGCTTAAAATTTTTTTCCCTACAAATTTCAGTTAGGCTTTACCCCAGGGAATGGTGGACTTCATTTGTCTCTGGCCATAGGATATATTAGCAAATCATAGGTGAATGGGTTGTACGGTGAAGGGGATTCTCTTACTTGTGAAAGAAGTAAACCTAGGAATGATGGAGTCACTAGGGGAAAACATGTACTATATCTCACGTAAGACAATAACAGGGTGCTAATTACTTAATCACTGAGTGTGAGTAAAAGAAAAACAATGGACTCATTTATAAGCCCTATCAGGATTTATAAAATGTGGTATTTATAAACAGCATTCAACTAATTTAATTTCTCTAAAATCAATTATAAGCCTTAAAATTTTTTAGTTAATAAGGTTCCAATTTATACCTGAAATTAATATTGTTATTATACTTTTTATCTCATCAGTGTAACCAGTGATTTTAATAATAAGAAAAAGTTGATGCAGGTTATTGGGCTTCAAGTGGAAATAGAAAATGTGGGTAGTAAAATACAGGTAATATTCAAGTGAAATAATGAAATTAAGTCAAATCATGTGTAGATAGCAGAAATAGCTAACTTAATACAAGCTGACTGGTTTACATGATATAGAATGTAAATTTCATGAGAACAGGGGTCTTTGTTTTGTCAATGTCTAATTATAAAGTACCTAGAATGTACCTAATACTTATTTGTTAAGTAAATATTAAAATATTATTCTGTAGAAAATTAAGTCTATTTAAAATTCATAAGAATATATGGGAATTGATAAAGGTAAATTCCCTTTAAAAAAACAATGGATAGGTACGTAATGGTAGTCATTAAAAACACCTTCAACATTATTTATATGTACAAGGTACTCTTTACGAAAAGCCAAACGTTTTAAACATTCTATTGCTGTTTTTTGAGATAGGATCTTGCTCTGTTGCCCAGGCTGTGGTGCAGTGCCATGATCATGGCTCACTGTAACTCTGAACTCATGAGCTCCAGTGATCCTCCGATTTCAGCCTCTCAAATAACTGGGACTATAGGCATGTGCCACCATGCCCAGCCAATTTTTTTTTTTTTTTTTTTTAATCTCGCTTTGTGGCTCAGGCTGGTCTTCAAGTCCTAGGCTCAAATGATCCGCCTGCCTTGGCCTCCCAAAGTGCTAGGATTACCAGGCATGAGCCACTGCACCCAGACTCAGCTATTTTTTCACTAAGGCAGCATGCCTCATATGCCAATCAAATATGGAGGGGTCTGTCAATACATTTCACTCATACTCTTTGGGGAAAGTAAAGATCTAATTAAGAGAAAAGATCAAGGTACAAAAGTAGATAAAATATGATCAAGTTTGTATAGACGGTTGAGAAATGAACCCAGAGTGGGGAAACACACCCACTATTAGATATAATAAATATTTTTCTGGAATATTCATATTTTTTAACCATGTTGATGTATTACTTTTGCTAAAAAGCTACACATTTTAAAATAAATAGAAAAATGGGACAAGACGGTGCAGAATACATTACTTTTAACATAAGGAATTTTAAATTAATATTCTTTTAGGAGGCAATAAAGTGAAGAGAAAGTCTGGTACACCTTCAAGAAATTATTATTTATTTATTTATTTGAGACAGAGTCTCACTCTGTTGCCCAGGCTGGAGTGCAGTGGTGCGATCTCGGCTCACTGGAAGCTCTGCCTCCCGGGTTCACGCCATTCTCCTGCCTCAGCCTCCCGAGTAACTGGGACTACAGGCGCCCGCCACCACGCCCGGCTAATTTTTTTGAATTTTAATAGAGACAGGGTTTCACCGTGTTAGCCAGGATGATCTTGATCTCCTGACCTCATGATCCGCCTGCCTCGGCCTCCCAAAGTGCTGGGATTACAGGCATGAGCCACCATGCCCGGCCACCTTTAAGAAATTTTTAAGATACAGGCTCAAGATAAAAAGAAAGCTCTTTCTGTTTCTTAACATGCCAAGTAAAATTTACCTATATAGGCCAACTTTCTACATTTCCTTCTGAATTTCTCAATTTTTCTAGAAGATGATGCGAACTTCGTTTACAGTAACTTAAAACAGATTATTTTAAGTTAAATAGACTGTTTTTAAGAATACTTTAATTTTCAAATGGTGCTTTTCAAATTGTTTTTGAAAAAATTTAATGGCTTCTTGGTACTCATCAAATGCTGATAAAATATATTATTTCAATATATAAGCAATATAGAATTATATTTGTGTGGAATATTACAATTCACAAACCATGTTCAAATACTGTTTCATTACATTTTAAATTTTAATTATAGGAATCAGAAATAAGCAATAGCAGCATGGATTTCTGAAGTACTGTTGAATAAAATCTGTAAGTCTATTTATGTTTTGAATTACTAATAAATTTAAAGTTATAAAGTAGTACTGGATAGATATTTACTTTGGGACAAATTTTTCCAAAGGTAAACATATTCATTCTGATGATACATTTTTAACCTTGAGAAAAAGCAAAAAGCAAAGTGAGGTGATATTAAAGTTAAAGCTATATGTACATGTACCTGATCTTTCCAGCTGTCTTATCTATAGATTGTCTTATCTTCTTAGAGAACTGAAAGACGGATGACAGCAGCAGATTATCTCCCATGACCTGAAACAGCCAAAGAAAAAAGTAGATATTAAAATATTACCCCTGTATTGTATAACTACTGAGATCACTAGTCACAAGTCACTATAGTTAGGGGCAGTTAGTATTTATGCTTATTTTAATTATAAACCAGTGAAGAATATAATTAATATGTAACTAAAATGAGAAAGTGAAAGAAACACTATTAACAAAGGAGTTCTTATTATTAAATAACTTGTCAAAGTTTCCGTATTATTTTGGTCATATCAGTTTCCAAACACAATCCATTTTATCCTCAGTTTATCTTCAATTAATATTGTGATCCTGTCTCTCTTACTTCCAACTGAATTATAAAAGAGAAGATACAAATAACTTAGAGTACTAAATTTATTATTTATTCTTTCACCAAGTAATGTGAATACAGAAATCAAGAAGAGTACAATCCTTGTTCTCCAGCAAAGAGTCTAGTGGGAAAGATACATTTTGAAAAATTTACGCAAAATAGTAAGTTTTTATACTGGGTGTTGGTATTACTCCAGTTGAGATGCGTGGGCAAAACCAGGGGTCACCAATCTCTGTAAAGAGCCAGAGGGTGAAGGTTTTGGTCTTTGAGGGACACAGGGTCTAAGTAATGTGAATACAGAAATCAAGAAGAGTACAATCCTTGTTCTTCAGCAAAGAGTCTAGTGGGAAACACACATTTTGAAAAATTTACACAAAATAGTAAGTTTTTGTACTGAGTGTTGGTATTACCCCAGTTGAGATGCATGGGCAAAACCAGGGGTCACCAACCTCTGTAAAGAGCCAGAGGGTGAAGGTTTTAGTCTTTGAGGGACATAGGGTCTCTGCCACAATTCCTCAACTCTGCCTTTGCAGAGTGAAAGCAGCCATAAATAATGAGCAAATTATGCATGTGGACATAGCCGTGTTGTAACAAAACTTTTACAAAACAAGTGACAGGTTGGATTTGGCCTATGGGCTGAAGTTTGCCAAGCCCTAGGCCAAATCATGAAAGGCAAAGCTAACGAAGCATGGTAGAAAAAGGTCAAAACTTGAGTCTAGCTGTGGGTTTCAAAATGAACTCCTTATATTGTCAGTACTATATCCAGAGCCTGAAAGAAAACAGAAAATAAGGCCCTAGAAGGCAAAAAGGTTTAAAGACCACTGGGAGAGGTGACGGTAATATACAGGGAATACGATTACATGTTTTATCATAAAGCCTAAGGCCTACAAAACAAGAGACGTTCACATAAATTTTGGGACTCAGTGCTGCAAGAATTCTAATGAGGCCGGGCGCAGTGGCTCACGCCTGTAATCCCAGCACTTTGGGAGGCTGGGGTGGGTGGATCACGAGGTCAGGAGATCGAGACCATCCTGGCCAACATGGTGAAACCCCATCTCTACTAAAAATACAAAAATTAGCGGGGCGTGCTGGTGCGTGCCTGTAGTCCCAGCTACTCGGGAGGCTAAGGCAGGGGAATTGCTTGAACCTGGGAGGCAGAGGTTGCAGTGGGCGGAGATAGCACCACTGCCCTCCGGCCTGGTGACAAAGCGAGACTCCCTCTCAAAATTAAAAAAAAAAAAAAAAAAGAATTCTAATGAAAGAGAGTTCATTGATGAGTGGCATAAATAAGGAAGTGATCATGGAAAAACGTGAACTAACTTCAGAATGACAAGGATTTGAATTTAGTGGGTAATAAAAGTTTATTTAGGTTGTGAAAAATAACATTGTCAAGGAAAGGATAAATAAGCAAAATGGTTTTTGTGGGCCTTAAGAAAACAATCAAATAAGGATGGAAGACATATACAAATTAGGAAGGCATGAGAAAGGGCAGGAGAGTCTAAGGAAACATTGCAACACAGAATAGGATATTTCTCTTTTCTTTGCTCATGAAGTTTAGTTTGTTGTCACAAAGTATTAAATAAATTCCTGATATCAACCTTGAGATAACTATCAATCTAGATGTTTCCATTCTCTTTAAAAACATACACTTCTTCCACATAGTTTTTTATTATGTTTGGAGAAATTTGTCTTCCTAGACATCGGGACAGAATGATTATGAGTAAGTTTAGAGAATAGGCTCTTTTCCTGATACCAAGAACAAATCAACTATTAGGCCAGGACAGATCAAGTATGCTGTAAAACGTTTTAGTATACTTCAGTTGTAACTTTCGGGCTAGTTGCATACTTTTCTACCAGGTAGATCTTTTTCTACTCAGTACCATGAGAAACATACATATTCTTACATAATAATCTCAAGATCTTATTCCTAAATCCAGGGATCCACAGATATTAATCTATGATCAATCTCTTCTGGTCAACTGTTTCTTTCTACATTATTCCTCTACCCAGCCCTTAAGCCTATACCACCTCTGTGTGTTGTTCATAAATCACCTCTTTCCACAGTAGTATTTGAAATAACCATTCTTTTATGAAGAAACTCCTTTATATCTTTGAGTTTTTTATTACTCTATTATTGTTCAATTTGGGAATATACCAGTTTATACATTCACTTTTCAGCTGATGTAAACAGTTTCCAAGTTTTTGATACTGTCAACAATGTTACTATAAATGTAACTTCTACTGTCAATGGGAAAGGGTTTTTCTTGTACATATACTAGCAAGAAAATTGCTAGATCATGTGATGTCTTTATTTTCAACTTTAGGAGATAGTGTCAAACTGTTTTCCAGAGCTGCGGCACCAACTTAACCTCCACCAACCACACATAAGAAAGCCTATGTAGCTACCTTTCCTCCAATACTTAACATTTTAAGACTTTAACATGTCAACAATTGAATGATTATAATCTCACTGTAGTCTTGACATGCGTTTCTCTGAATGCTTGTTAAGTTAAACTTCTCTTCATGTTTTGTAGGCCTTAAGTATTTTCTTTTTCTTTTTTTTTTTTTGGAGACAGAGTCTCACTCTGTCACCCAGGCTGGAGTGCAGTGGTGTGGGTTCAGCTCACTGCAACCTCTGCCTCCCGGGTTCAAGTGATTCTCCTGCCTCAGCCTCCTGAGTAGCTGGGATTACAGGCACATGCCACCACGCCCGGCTAATTTTCTTATTTGTAGTAGAGACGGAGTTTCACCATGTTGGCCAGGCTGGTCTGAAACTCCTGACCTCAGGTGATCTGCCCGCCTCGGTATTTTCTCTTTGGTGAAATGTTGTTCACGTCTTTGCAGATTTTTCTATTGTGTTTTTTAATTGATTGGAGGGAGTTTTTTATATATACTGTATACTAATCCTTCATAGGCTGTATGTTTTGCAAAAGTTTGTAACTTGTATTTCTACCTTCTTTATTTTTTAATAAAGAAAAAGTCCTTAATTTTAATATACTCAAATGTCTCAATTTTCTAAGGCCAAAAGTTTGTGTTTCTCTTAAGAAATCACTCCCTAGTACAATATTGAAAGATATTTGTCTGTATTTTTTAAGTAAAAGTTTTACAGTTTTTCATGCATTAAGAACTAAATTCATTTAGAGAATGAATTTAAGAACTAAATTCATATTCATGAACTTAAATGAGAAAAAACAATTACAGTATTATTTTCGCTAACCTCTAAGTGACATAATTATTTGTATATGATGTGATGTCATGGTGAAATTTCATTGCATTCATTAAGGA